>NC_000005.10:86170413-86473443 GCF_000001405.40 Homo sapiens | reverse complement strand
GTCATCACAAGCTAGAATAATATTAGAGACATTGACAGATTCTAGCCTTTTATGTATTACCTGTTCAGATGGACCTGTACCTACATAAGTATATTCTCTAGAACTGGAACTGTATCAGCATAAATGCATTCACTACAACGTTCAAAATTTGAATTTCTTCTGAGAATGCCAGGTCAATGAGTTGACCTTGTTCTCTTGTGGGTAGTTTTTAATCTTTATTTGTCTCAAGCTACTTTTTGTAGGTCTGTAGCAAATAATGAATAACATTTTTACAATAATTTTCATCAGAGATTTGTAAGGAGATTCAGGTTCTGATAAAAATCATATTGTTTATCATATCCTTCCCTTTGCACTCTGCCCCACACTCAGCAACTCCAACACTCACTGGCCTCCAAATATGCTACTGAAATTGAGTTACATAAATAAGATGAATGTTGAACTAAAGAGAAAATAAGTTATTTTAAATATGAGATAACATGATAAGGTGGAAATTGGAAAGAACAATTTCATTCAATTTAGGCTTGTTGGGGCATTTCAGTAAAATAGATGTAAGTGTAGCTTAGGTCCTTTCTAGCTCTACATAATCATCTTTATGAGAGACTGCCAAATTATTAGATGCCTGATTTCTGGCACATTGCAGGCCTCTTCTGCTCGATTCATTTTTCAACAGGATTATGATGGAACTTCAACCAATGAAATCTTTGGCCACATTCTTAGCAATGCTGGGCCAAGACCACAAGAACTGTCTTTGCTTTGCAGGCCCTATCCATTTAGCTAGATGACTTTTCTTTTTTTCTGATTAACTGTCTACACTGTCTTCTCTGAGATTTGGTTCTCCCACTCTTCCTTTCCCCATTCTCAGGTCCAGTTGAGTACAAAGTATGGTATAATATTTTCTAACATATCCAATTTCTATCTGCCTGATTTTCATTCTTTTTTTTTAAATTTACATTCACCATTGAGAAACAGATCAGGACAAGGAAGATGGGTGCAACAAAAATAACACATATGAGGAAATGTATAAAGTTACTAAAAATCAACCAAAATTTTCACAGTCTCCTTCTTTGGAGTCAGATTCTCCAAAAGCTGACACTGAGACAGCTTTTGTTAGGAGGATTTGTTAATGATTTCCTAAGGAAATGATCCAAGAGAAATCTTTAAAGTGATAGAGGAATCAAGAAAGGGAAGCAGAGGAAGCCAAACAGAGGTATAATTTCACATAAAATCCCAGCTTCAGTCTGATTCCTGGGGAAACTTAAAAATGAAACTTACGCCTTACAGTCTGTCTTGATTTGAGACAAGGTCCTTCGGCTTTCTATCTGCAGCACTAGTTGGCCATTCGCTAAGGCCGCCCTGGGGATATAATGTAAACTCACACCTGGGCATCTCTAGCTCTCTGTGCATGAGAGGAAAAGTGGTCCAGGAGCTCAAAGGAAGGTCTCTGAAGAGAGTCACAGGTGCAGGTTGTGAGAAGCAAGGTACACAGAAGCTGCAAGATGGACTTACAGAAAGGACAAAGGGGATTCCAAGAGATTTGGCCAGATAATGGAACTTTTACAGTCTCTATTAAAATGTAGTTAGGCTTGACTTGCCTTTGTCAAGTGTTTTCTGCCTTCTTATTTCTCCAGGATGATTTGTTCTGCCTCCTTTGCCTTTCTTCAAACTGTTTCTCTGAGGTTGGAAGTCTTTTGTAATAAGTTTATAAACAGCCCCCTGACCCCCACCTCTTCTTCAGAACAACAACAAGAGAAATAGTTTTCAGGAAGGCAAGATAAATATGAGAAATATCATCTTAGTACTATTCAAAGAAACACTGCATCTTTCAAAGAATGCCACATCCAACCTAGTGTAGTTTTTGGGAAATGCTGATGTAGTTGGGTCTATTGGGAACAATTATGATATTTAGATCTACTTTTAAAAAGTACCCCAACCCCAGGGAAAATGTCCTACATCTAGAGTTGTACCACTGGGTGACAATTAAAGATGTTTTTCTATCATGAAATAAAATTCCCAGGTATGATTATGTTTGTCTTTAGCTCCTGTTTCATTTGAAGTCTCATAACCCTTCGTGGATATCATTTTAATTGGATCTTTCAAGTTTTTGACTCATAGAAAAATGATGTGTATACTTATCTGATGCCTTCAAGCAGGCTAGGCTCTCCTTAAAATAATAAAAATATTCATTGAGATATAATATTACAGGCTCTATGCTCCACAATTTATAAACAAAATATCATTAACTTTTCAAACCAATTGTAAACATTATCTTCTTTTTATAGATGGGAACAATGAGGTACTAGTAACCAGCCTGAGAGCTAATAAATAAAAATATTCTTTAGAGTAAAAGTTTTATATAGCGAAACCTAGACTAAGGTCACTTAACCTAATATACCTGTAATCACTGTCATTTAATGTCAAGTGTAATTAAGGTTCTAGCTTAAGAGTCAATGAATAATTTAACTGTAAAATATTTTGGTTGTTTAATACCAGTGGTTTTCTGGCCATCACTTCCATGGCAATCTGCTCTAGAATGTGTATTCATTGCTTCCATCTTTGCTGAAATTGATTATTTTGTTTTGCCCTGAATAAGAAGCAGATTCACTTATTACATTTTACTTATTTTATATTTCCTTTAATTTTCTTTTTCTTTTGAGACAGGAGACAGGAGTCTCGCTCTGTCACCCAGGCTGGAGTGCAGTGGCATAAACTTAGCTCACTGCAACCTCCGCCTCCAGGGTTCAAGCATTCCTCTCACCTCAGCTCCCCGAGTAGCTGGGACCACAGGCACACACCACTGTGCCTGGCTAATTTTTTGTATTTTTGGTAGAGACAGGGTTTCACCATGTTGCCTAGGCTGGTCTCAAACTCCTGAGCTCAAGTGATCTGCCTGCCTCTGCCTCCCAAGGTGCTGGGATTACAGGCATGTCCTTTTAAGATTTTAAAAAAGAAATGTTAAAAAAGATTATAGTGCATACACAGATCTATTTTCCAACAGGTGTGAATGTTTGTATGCTTAACATGCATTACCCTTCTGCCTTGTAGCTCTTCTGCTATATTTCAGCAGAACATCTGGATCCAACCTAACTTGGATCTGCAGTTTATTTGTTATAATCACTATATTAGAATATATTGGACTTCTTGTGTTTGTGATCTTCACCTGTTTAGGAGACATAACCTGAATTCCCTTGCTGACCATGCTTGCATTTTAAAGAAACTATACTTTCAACTAATATTTTAAAAACTTATCTTTTGAACACGACATTTTTAATAATTAAAATTACTTTTTATTTACTATTTTCTTTTCAGTGCTTTTAAAATCCTTTTTGAAAAAGTACTGGGCAAGATTTTATACAGTAATGCCAGCCAGAGATCAGAGGTCTTCAACATGGAGTTGAGGAAATGAGATGAGAAGGGAAAATTCCAGAGATAGTACAAAGTACACAAGGACCTGAGGGTCAGAACTTAAATATATTGGTTCCCAGCGCACTGAAGGATGTAAGCAGTGTAGATAAGGTTTATGTGGTTTCTGGAGGGAGTTATTTACTCCTTGACTAAGCACACCTTTCAGAAGAGCCAATTCTCATGAAAATAACAGGAGCAAAATACAGTTTTGCAAAGGGAAACTATTAATACTTACATTGGACCTTTGTCTTAAGACTTTTGTCTTTTTGAATAGATTCACATAAACAGTAAATGCTTAATATTGACTTACTATTTTAAAATGAATTGTCTAGAATCATAAGTGATATTTATGGCACTTAAACAATCAACCTGACCAGAGTTTAAACAGATATGGCAAAGTTTATCCTCATACATGTAATCTACATTATAATTTAAAAGATCAAATGTTTAGCAATCAAGCACGTTTGCAGAAAACTTAGCATGTCCAGCAACACAAATTGAACTTCTACAAATTAAAGAGAATCCAAGATCTCATAGTTCAGTGGTAGTGGACTTCTGCATTTAAGATTTCTGACTGGCAGATTAAAGGGGAGAAATCAATGTAGGATACAGGGAAGAGGTAAGAGTGATAAGAGTGATACAGAATGTGCTTGGGCTGTTAATGAGGTGGAAGACACTATCAGGATAAGTCAGAAACAAAGATATTGCTGTTTTGTTCAAGGTCAGAGACTGGAAAATGATGAGCTTTGGGCCAAAACCGGACTGCCATTCATTCTTAAAAATAAAGTTTTCTTGGTACACTGTCCTATTGAGTCTTATGTGTTGTCTATGGCTTTTGTTGTTCTAGGACCATTTGACATGCACAACCTAAATTATTTACTATGTGGCCCTTTAGTAGAAAAGTTTATGAAGCCCTGCTTTAGGTAATAATGCTTTTAAATATAATAATGGAACATTAATGGTAATATATTGATGGTCAAAGCCAAGAAAAGTGTATCATCATTGTTATCTCTAAGAACACTAGACTGCAATTATTTCTTAATTTTCAATTCTATTAAGGCAGCAAATATTATTTATAGCCCCTGTATAGATTTAGTAAAAGAATTAGTAAAACTAGCTTTTCTTAAAGTGTGTTATACGCCTAAGTACACATATGTACATGCAGAAAGAGATGTCATTTAGAAATTCATTCAACTTCAGTTGTTTAAAAAATACAATTTTATTATTATAATAAGTTTCAAAACAGTTACCAGAAGAAATTGATTCTACAACTCTAAGAAGTCTGGACTGAGTTTTGATAATTTTCTTGGCTTTTCTCCCTTGCCTTTATTAATGGGCTTTAGGTAGTCAGATACTTCAGACATCATGCCTGTTTTCAATGCAGGAAGAATTTAGATAAAGCGGGATAAAATTGGTTTCAGCAGATTTCAGAATAAGGATCAGTAGCTATAGATATGTTGTCTGTACTCTGCTACCTGCAAGGAATTCTGGTAATTTGATAATTTACAGTTTTTTTTAATTGTGGTTATAAACGTGTAACATACAATTTATCATTTTAACTCTTTTAAGTGTACATTTATACTGTTGTGCAATCATCACCACAATCTATCTCCAGAACTTTTCTGTATTCCCAAACTGAAACTCTGTACCCATTAAAGAGGCAAAGGTGAGGAAGTTTTGTCTGTTGGCTGAGATGCTCTGAGGCAGTGAGGGAAAGGAGAGGGTAAGTAGACAAACTTGGGGCATTCAGAATGAAAAACAGATGTATTGGTCAGGGTTCTCTAGGGGGACAGAACTAATGAATATATATATATATTTATGTATATGGGAGTTTATATGAGAATATATATATGGGAGTATATATATATACATATAGGAGTTTATTAAGTATTAGCTTACATGATCACAAGGTCCCACAATAGGCCATCTGCAGGCTGAGGCACAAGGAAAGCCAGTCTAAGTTCCAAAACTGAAGAACTTGGAGTCCAATATTCGAGGGCAACAAACATCCAGCATGGGAGAAAGATGCAGGCTGGGAGGCTACGCCAGTCTCTCTTTTCACATTTTTCTGCCTGCTTATATTCTAGCTGCACTGGCAGCTGATTAGATTGTGCCCACCCAGATTAAGGGTGAGACTGGCTTTCCCAGCCCACTGACTCAAATGTTAATCTCCTTTGGCAACACCCTCACAGGTACACCCATGATCAACACTTTGTGTCCTTCAATCCAATCAAATTGACACTCAGTGTTAACCATCACATGTCCACCCCTTGTCAACTTGAACCCATATACATCATACATAATCTTCAAATAAAGAAAATAATGAGGTCATAATTATGCCTAACGTAATACAACTGTCTTCGTACAACTGGAAATGCACCAATCTCCAACCCAAATGCTA
Source organism: Homo sapiens (assembly GCF_000001405.40). Taxonomy (NCBI): domain Eukaryota; kingdom Metazoa; phylum Chordata; class Mammalia; order Primates; family Hominidae; genus Homo; species Homo sapiens. The sequence continues at coordinate 86,467,640 of NC_000005.10, read as the reverse complement.
TTACATAAAGTTAACAACACTTAAATGCTGATGTAAAATCAATAAATATTATGTCAGATGATAAAGATGAAAGAAAATAAAATGAAGATATTTTCTTAGTATAAGTGTATACATGCACAAACATGTTTTTAACAAAAGGAGGAGGAAATACTCATAACAATTACAGTCCTTATTTCTGCAGCTGGTCACGTGGTCATAGCTGGTATTGATGACTACCTTCTTCTGCTACCCATTCTGTATTCCCTTTGCCTTCAGCAAGCACTGCAGCAGGTCGTGATTTTTTTCCTGGTAGAGTGACCCAAACCTTCATTCCTGAAGGGCCTGTGTCATTTGTAGTCCTGCCTGTGTTGGATTATTGTAGTTTCCCATTGACCTTAATCACAGGGGCATGATAATGAGAAGTGACAGCATGCTGGCAGTCCTCAGAGCCCTCGCTTGCTCTCGGCACCTCCCCTGCCTGGGCTCCCACTTTGGTGGCATTTGAGGAGCCCTTCAGCACCCCCACTGCACTGTGGGAGCCCCTTTCTGGGCTGGCCAAGGCTGGAGCCCACTCCCTCAGCTTACAGGGAGGTGTGGAGGGAGAGGCGCGAGCGGGAACCGGGGCTGCATGCGGAGCTTGCGGGCCAGCTGGAGTTCCAGGTGGGCATGGGCTCAGCGGGCCCCGCACTCGGAGCAGCCGGGCGGCCCTGCTGGCCAGGGCAATGAGGGACTTAGCACCCAGGCCAGTGGCTGCGGAGGGTGTACTGGGTCCCCCAGCAGTGCTGGCCCACCAGCGCTGCGCTCGATTTCTCGCCGGGCCTTAGCTGCCTTCCCGCGGGGCAGGGCTTGGGACCTGCAGCTCACCATGCCTGAGCCTCCCATCCCCTCCGTGGGCTCCTGTGCCGCCTGAGCCTCCCCGACGAGCACCACCCCCTGCTCCACAGCGCCCAGTCCCATTGACCACCCAAGGGCTGAGGAGTGCGAGCGCACCGCGGGGGACTGGCAGGCAGCTCCACCTGCAGCCCCGGTGTGGGATCCACTAGGTGAAGCCAGCTGGGCTCCTGAGTCTGGTGGGGACATGGAGAGTCTTTATGTCTAGCTCAGGGATTGTAAATACACCAATCGGCACTCTGTATCTAGCTCAAGGTTTGTAAACACACCAATCAGCACCCTGTGTTTAGCTCAAGGTTTGTGAATGCACCAATCGACACTCTGTATCTAGCTGCTCTGGTGGGGCCTTGGAGAACCTGTGTGTGGAAACTCTGTATCTAACTAATCTGATGGGGACGTGGAGAACCTTTGTATCTAGCTCAGGGATTGTAAACACACCAATCAGCGCCCTGACAAAACAGGCCACTTGGCTCTACCAATCAGCAGGATGTGGGTGGGGCCAGATAAGAGAATAAAAGCAGGCTGCCCGAGCCAGCATTGGCAACCCGGTCGGGTCCCCTTCCACACTGTGGAAGCTTTGTTCTTTCGCTCTTTGCAATAAATCTTGCTACTGCTCACTCTTTGGGTCCACGCTGCTTTTGTGAGCTGTAACACTCACTGCGAAGATCTGCAGCTTCACTCCTGATCCCAGCGAGGCCACGAGCCCACCAGGAGGAACGAACAACTCCAGACGTGCTGTCTTAAGAGCTATAACACTCACTGCGAGGGTCCGCAGCTTCATTCTTGAAGTCAGTGAGACCAAGAACCCACCAATTCCAGAAACAATAATACTAAGAGATACCCTAGCAGATGTCCTGTATTCCATGCATGCTCTTCCTTACCTCTGTAGACTGATTTCATCTTGGTAGTCCAAGTCAATCACACCAGCTAACACTGTAACTCCCTTCTTAGCCTGTTGACTTAAATTTAGGAGTACCCTGAAGTGTCCAGGTGGCAATCTTAGCTTCCAGTTTAATGGAATTGTTGTTGTGTCTCCTGGTGACAGTGTTCCTCCTTCTGGAACTGTAGCAGGATGAGCCACAGACAAAACACCTCAGACACTGAAATATAGAAGGAAGTGGCTTTATTCGGCTGAGAGCATTGGCAGACTTGCATCTTAAGGGCCCAGCTCCCTGATAGAGAAATTCCTGCCCCTTTTAAGGGCTTACAACTCTAAGGGGGTCCACGTGAAAGGGTCATGATCGATTGAGCAAGCATGGGGTACGTGCCTGGGGCTGCATGCATTGGTAATCAGGACAGAACAGAACAGAACAGAAAGTTTCACAGTGCTTCCTTATACAATGTCTGGAATCTGTAGGTAATACAAGTGGTTAAGTCAGGGTTGATTTTTAATTACCAGGCCTGGGGAGCGGCTGGGAGCTATCTAACTATTGATCTTATTTCTGCCTTTCTTTAGCTTCTGCTTCCTCTTTTCTTTTTCTGAGGCATGAGACAATAGGAGAGGTGGTCTCCTTCCTTATTCCACCCTTTGAGAATCTCACTTATTAGTGGGAGTTCTCACTCTCATCTTCACTGAGTAGGTCTTCCTGCAAAACAGATTGATAATGATTCATGTAATACATTTGTACCGAGGTTTTCTGATGAACTACAGTGGTAATACAACTTTTTGTCAGTTGGAGAAATATGGGCAGCAAGCAAGGAAGCAATAGACAGGTTCTTAACACTATTAGTATGCCTATTATTAAAGTCCTAAATCCTCCTAGAGATGGGAACCATTTTTCAGACAGGGACCCAGGGTTAAACCCATGCCAAACCTGCAATGGCACATGTGTCAGCTTTGTTATGTCTCTAACTATATTTTTGACTACTTGCCCTTGATCATCTATGTGTAGACAGCAATTGGTTAGGTTGAATTTTCTACAGATTACTTTTTCAGCTGCTAGTAAAAGTTTAGGGCCAATCTATTCTGATAGATGGCATTTTTCATTTGGGTTTCTTGCCGGGCTAAAATGGTTAAAGCTCTGCCAGTTTTATTAGTGATTATTTTTGAGACAGCTTTATTCAGCTGGGAGTGGATGATCTGGGTCCTGCTGGCTGGTTCACTTCTCCTGAGCTGCCGGTGTTAGCTGACTGTGGTGGATCCAAGACGTAACACCTGCAACTTTAACAGCATTGGGAGTGGACAAGATTACAGTATAGGGCCTATCCTATATGGATGCTGGAGAAATTAAATTTTACTTTTTAACCTAAACAGAGTCACCGGATTTAAAGGAGTGTCAGGCTTATAGGCATTTTTATGTTCTTAATTATGAACACGTTGTATGGTTATTCTTAGAACGTGCATTTGCATTTTTAAGGTGAATTCCTCTAGTTCCTGGAGGTTACCTTTAATTTGGGATAACTATGATTTGGGGGTGGCCGACTGAACAAAATCTTATAGGGCAAATACCTAATTTGTTTGGTGGGGTTGCATCTGACTCAGAGGAGGGCCATAGGCAAAAACTTGATTTTATTTTAAATGAATTTCCTGGCAATATTTCTTCAGTAGCTGCTTGAGTGTCCGGTTTACGCGTTTTTACCTTTTCCTGAACTTTGCGGCTGGTAGGCAGCATGCAGTTTCTATGTGATCCTTAATGCCTTTGCTGTTTTCTGTACCAAGTCAGCTACAAACGCTGGCCCGTTAACTGAGCTGATTTGTAAGGGCAGTCTAAATCTAGGAATAAGATCTCGGAGAAGCACACAGATTACTTCACGAGCTTTCTCTGTGTTGGATAAGCCTCCACCCACCCAGAGTAGGTACACACAATAACTAGTAAATACTTGTTACTACACTTTGGCATTTCTGTGAAGTCTACCTGGAGGTCTTTAAAGGGGGCTGCTCCATAAGCTTGTATGCCAGGCTGGACCCTGCCTCGCATTGTGCTGCCAGCAGGTAATACATCACTGTGCCACCATTTTGGCAAGGGCTGATAAATGTGAGATGTAGAAGTACTGGTGTAACAACTTTTTAAGTGACTTTTGGCCTAGGTGGGTGGTCTCATGCACAGCCAGTACAACTGCAGCTCCTAGCAGTTGTGGCACGGCTATCCTTCCATCTGGTAACTGGATCTACCCCTCTTCTATTATTTGTCCCCCTTTTGTCTGGAAAAATTCCTTTTCTTAGAATAAGTAGGTACAAGGTCAGGGGCCTGTGAGAGAAGGGGGGCTGTTACTGACACCTGGTGGAGGGTGGATGCAGCTTTCCAAGCATCTGAGTCAGCCCAGGAGTTCCCTAAAGCAACCATAGTGGAAGCTCACTGGTGTCCCCTGCAGTGTATAACTGTCACCTTTTGGGGCTTCCACACTGCTTTTAGTAGTTGCGAGATCTCTTGCTGATGTTTCATGTCTTTTCCTCCAGAGTTTAACAAGCCTTTTTCCTTGTATAATGCCCCATGTACCAAGAGTCAGTGTAGATATTCATAGTCTTACCTTTACTTAGTTCTAAAGACTGAATTAAAGAAATGAATTCATCTTTTTGGGCTGAAGTACTCTGGGGCAACGATTTGGCTTCAATGACAGTGTCCAGGTTTACCACTGCATATGCTGCACATCTCTCTCCTTGTGGGTTGACGAAGCTGCTCCCATCCACATACAGCTTCTAGTCCACTGATGCCCAAGGCTGGTCCTGGAAGCCAGGTCTGCTAGAGTAAACCTAGTCTAACACTTTAACACAGTTGTGCTTGACAGGGCCCTCTGACACTGGGAGCAAGGTGGCAGGGTTCCGGGTGTTACAAACTTCAATGGTTACGCGGAGATTTTTACAAAGCAGGCTTTGGTACTTGGTTGGTCTGGCATTTGTCAGCCAATGATGTCCTTTGGTATTCATTAAAGTCACCACAGCATGGGGGGCTTTTATGTTCAGGTTTTGGCCAAGAGTCAGTTTATCTGCTTCTTGTGCTAGCAGGGAAGTTGCTGCTAAGGCCCTCAAACACGGGGGCCAACCTTTAGAAACTCAGTCTAGCTATTTAGAGAGGTAGGCCACTGGCCTTGGCCAGGCCCTACATCTTGGGTTAAAACTCCGACTGCTATTTTTGTCTCTTTCTGACACATACAATGTAAATGGCTTTGTTAGGTCAGGTAGCCATAGGGCTGGGGCCGACATGAGCTTTTCTTTGAACTTATGAAAAGCCTATTGTTGTTGGGAACCCCATTTGAAAGGTTCTGTGTTGCCCACATTTGTGACTTGGTACAGAGGTTTGGCCAGTACTGCAAAATTTGGGATCCAGAACATGCAGAACCTCACATCTCCTAAGAATTCTCTCACCTGCCTTCTGGTCTTAGGCTCCAGTAGGTTACAAATGACCTTTTTTTTTTTTTTTTTTTTCCTGATCCTAGGCTGCACTCTCCCCATCGGATAGTAAATCCTAGGCGGTGTACCTACTGTCTGCAGATCTGAGCTTTCTTCTTGGACACCTTATACCCACAGTCATCCAGGTGCCAGAGCAGGGCATCTGTTCCTTTGGCACACCCAACTGCCGTGGGGTATCCCAGCAGGAGGTCATTGAAGTACTGGAGCAACACGCAGCCTAAGTCTCTGGCAGGAAACTTTTGCAGGTCTCAAGCCAGGGCCTCCCTGAAGATAGTGGAGGAGTTCTTGAACCCTTGGGGAAGCTGGATCCAAGTGTACTGAGTGGTGACACCTGACCCCAGATCTTCCCACTGAAAAGCAAACAGCTTCTGGCTCTCAGAAGCTAGTCTGATGCTAAAGAAGGCATTCTTCAGGTCTAGGCAGGTGAACCAGCTGTCCTCAGTACGTGAGCAGCTGGTGGCAATCAGCCTAAGTAGGGTTATGAGTCTGGATAATAGTTTGGAGCAAATTAATTAAGGCTTAAGGCTTTTCAGTATAAGATGGGGTATTGTTCTTCCAATTGGAGATCAGCAGAGGTGAAAAGTTGATACACAAAGGCATGCCTTTCTACCATATGCCCTTCCTCATCTACCCCAGTATATCACTGCTCCCTCAGGGGGATTTGCATAGCTTGAGCATGGCCAGATTTGAGAGTGCCCATTTGACTATCTTGACTTCCTTCCATGGCCTCTCAAGGCTCTGCTCCTCCCCTTCGAGGTGAGACCTGGGGCATGTTAGCTCCTGAACCTGGTTCCTGGGGGGCTGTTGACCTCAGTAAAGAGTGGGTAGGCTGGGACATATGGAGGAAGAATTTCTGTTACCTCTGGCGGCTCCTGCAAAACAGGTTTCTCTTGCTGTTTCTGGGATTTCCTCTTTTAACTCTGTCTGCTGTCAAAGCTGCTCTCACTTTTACTTTTGGCCTTTTTTGCAATAAGCTGTTAAACAGGGCTGGATCTATGCCAGTTTTATCATACTATATTTAACTATGAGTCAATATAAAGGAATTTGGTCTGGGTACACTGGCTGTCCTCTGACCCCTGTCACCACCTTAAATACATGGCCAATTGTTCCCTGTCTATAGTTCTTTCGGTCGGCCATCCAACATCAAAAGAGGGCAATTTTAATTTACATCCACAGAGAGTTCTCAACCTCTGGGGGGTTAACTTAACTCTATAATCCCCTGCAAAACCTTTTTTAAGGTTCTGTAACATGCACTTTAACAGAGGAAGTTTTGGATGTTCTGATGACTTTTTTCTTATTTATTTTATTTTGTTTTTTTCTTGAGACAAAACAACACTCATACTACAAGAAGGAAAGGGTAAAAGGTCACTCATTCGTCTAATTCACACTAAATCAAAATTAAAACCTAAGCCAAAGTGTTGATAAAGGCATGCCTGTTTGCCAAGCAATTCAAGCCAAGTCAAAATCAAAACCAAAACCAAAGTGCCAATAAAGGCACACCGTGGGTGATCAGGCCACACTTCCACTCAAATGGAGTAGGCAAGTTCCTAAGACCGGTCTTACCATGTTTCAGATGTCCGGACTCCAAAAGCCAGTTCCTTCCCAGTGTTCAGCCACTGCGTCGATCTCACGCAGGGGCTTGCCATGCACTGCTCTGACGAGGCGTTCCACTGGGGCAAATGCCTACCTGGGAGCACTTTCAGGATCCGCGTCGCTCAAGCTGGCCGGAGTCCCCCACAGGGATGCTCTGCAGGGCAGGCCTAAGCCACCTAAGTGGCTTCCTTGATTGCCCGTCAACCACCTCACTTCCCGGTCAGGGAACCAAGAAATGTAGCAGGACGAGTCACAGACAAAACACCTCAGACACCGAAATATAGAAGGAAGTGGCTTTATTTGGTCGGGAGTGTCGGCTGACTTGTGTCTTCAGGGCTGAGCTCCCTGAGAGAGAAATTCCTGATCCTTTTAAGGGCTTACAACTCTAAGCGGGTCCACGTGAAAGGGTCGTGATCGATTGAACAAGCATGGAGTACATGCCTGGGGCTGTATGCATCGGTAATCAGGACAGAACAGAACAGAAAGTTTCACAATGTTTCCTTATACAATGTCTGGAATCTATAGATAATACAAGTGGTTAGGTCGGGGTTGATTTTAAACTACCAGTCCTGGGGAGTGTCTGGGAGCTGTCTAACTATTGATCTTATTTCTGCCTTTCCTTAGTTTTTGCTCCTCTTTTCTTTATCTGAGGCATGAGACAACAGGAGAGGTGATCTCCTTCCTTACAACTAAGACTTCTAGGCCAGCAGAACTTAAGGTTGTGGGAACAGGAAGCAAAAGTTGCTATGGATCACTAGGGGTGATGGTGAGTGGTGCCACTTCCACTTCCACCCCTTGATTCCTGGACCCATAAATCCTGGCTAGGGGAGAAACAGTACCATATATTGGGTGCTGATTCAGAGCATACATGGCCTTCTGGAGAACTTTGCCCCAGCCCTACAAAGTATTGTCACCTAATTGGTATTGTAATTGTGACTTCAAAAGGCCATTCCACTGTTCTATCAATCCAGCTGCTTCCAGATGATGGGGAACATGGTAAGACCAGTGAATTCCATGAGCATGAGCCCACTGCTGCACTGCTTTAGCCATAAAGTGAGTGCCTTGGTTAGAGGCAATGCTGTGTGGAATACCGTGACAGTGGATAATGCATTCCGTGAGTCCATGGATGGCAGTCTTGGCAGAAACTTTGCATGCAGGATAGGCAAACCCATATCTAAAGTAAGTGTATATTCCAGTGAGGACAAACCTCTGCCCTTTCCATGATGGAAGGGGTCCAATATAATCAACCTGCCACCAGGTAGCTTGCTGATCACCCCAAGGAATGGTGCCATATTGAGGGCTCAGTCTGCTCCTGGCAAATTGGGCACTCAGCAGTGGCCACAGCCAGGTCAGTCTTGGTGAATGGAAGTCCATGTTACTGAGCCCATGTGTAATCTCCATCCCTGCCACCATGGCCACTTTGTTCATGGGCCCATTGGGCGATGACAGGAGTGGCTGGAGAAAGAGGCTGAGAGATGTCCACAGAACGCGTCATCATATCGAGTTGATTAATAAAATCCTCCTCCACTGAGGTCACCCATTGGTGAGCACTCACATGGGATACAAATATCTTCACAGTTTTTGACCACTCAGAAAGGTCCATCCTTGTACCCCTTCCCCAAATTTCTTTGTCACTAATTTTCCACTCATGTTTCTTCCAAGTCCCTGACAATCCAGCCAAACCATTGGCTACAGCCCATGAATCAGTATATAATCACAAATCTGGCCATTTCTCCTCCCGTTCAAAGTGCACAACCAGGTGCACTGCTTGAAGTTCTGCCCACTGGGAAGATTTCCCTTCACCACTGTCCTTCAGGGATGTCCTAGAAAGGGGTGGTAGTGCTGCAGCTGTCCATTTTTGCGTGGTGTCTGCATATCGTACAGAACCATCTGTGAACCAGGCCCTAGTCTTCTCTTCCTTTGTCAACTGATCATAGGGAACTCCTCATGAGGCTATTAGTGCAGTCTTGGGGAGAAGAGGCAGGGTGGCAGGGGTAGAGGCCATGGGCATTTGAGCCACTTCCTCATGTAACTTACTTGTGCCTTCAGGACCTGCTCGAGACTGATCATGTATATAACACTTCCCTTTGATGACAGAATGCTGCTGTGCATAACCTACTTTATGGCTAGATAGATAAGAAAACACTCAGTTCATGATAGGCATTTCAGGTTATATGCTGACTTGATGATGTTAGTCAAATGTTCAGTTTTCACCAAAGCCCGGTAACAAGCCAAGAGCTATCTCTCAAAAAGAGAATAGTTATCTGCAGAAGATAGTAGGGCCTTGCTCCAAAATCCTAGAGGCCTTTGCTGTGATTCACCTGTGCTGGCCTGCCAAAGGCTCCAAACAGCATCCCTATCTGCCATTGACACCTTAGTCACCATTGGATTTATTGGGTCATATGGCCCAAGTGGCAGAGCAGCTTGCACAGCAGCATGGGCCCATTGCACAGCCTTCTCCTCTTTTGGACCATATCCAAAACTGGCAGCCTTTCAGGTCGGTCAATAAATAGGCTGGAGTAACACACCCAAATGAGGAATGTGTTGCCTCCAAAATCCAAATAGGCACACTAAGCATTGTGCCTCTTTCTTGGTTGTACGAGGGGCCAAATGCAGCAACTTATCCTTCACCTTAGAAGGAATATCTTGACAGGTTTCACATCACTGGACCCCTAGTAATTTAACCGAGGTAGAAGATCCCTGAATTTTAGTCGTATTTATTTCCCATCCTTTGGCATGCAAATGCCTCACTAATAAGTCCAGTGTGTTTGCTGCTTCTTGCCCACTGGATCCATTCAGCATAATGTCATCAATGTAATGGTCCAGTGTGATATCTTGCTGAAGCAAAAGGCAATCAAGGTCTTTCTTAATAAGATTATGACCCAAAGCTGAAGAGTTGATATATTCCTGAGGTAGGACAGTAAAGGTATATTTCTGGCCTTGCTAGCTGAAGGCAAATGGCTTTTGGTGGGCCTTATTGACCAGAATGGAGAAAAAGGCATTTGCCAAGTCAATGGCTGCATACCAGGTACCAGGAGATGTATTAATTTGCTCAAGCAATGCAACCACATCTGGTACAGCAGGTGCAATTGGAGTCACCACTTGGTTAAGCTTACAATAATACACTGTCACTCTCCAAGATCCATGTGTCCACTGCACAGGCCAAATGGGAGAGTTGAACAGGGACATGGTGGGAATCACTACCCATGGGTCTTTAAAGTCCTTGATGGTGGCACTAATCTCTGCAGTCCCTCCAGGGATGCAACATTATTTTTGACTTACTCTTTTTCTGGGTAGAGGCAGCTCTAATGGCTTCCATTTGGTCTTTCCTATCATAATAGCCCTCACCCTACCAGTCAGAGAGCCAATGTGGGGGTTCTGCCAGTTGCTAAGTATCTCTATGCCAATTATGCATTCTGGCACTGGGGAAATGACCCACTGGACCCACTGTAAGTTGCACCTGAGCTAAGACTCCATTAATTACCTGACTTACATAAGCCCCTATTTTAACTGGAGGATGATGGTAACGTTTTGGGTCTCCTGGAGTCAACATCAGCTCAGAACCAGTGTCCAGTACTCCTCAAAATGTCTTATCATTTCTCTTTCCCCAATGCAGTTACCCTGGTAAAAGGCCAGAGATCTCCTTGGGGAAGGATGGAAGAAAGATTCACTGCATACATTGTTAGTAATGTAGTGGGGTCCTTCCTCAAGGGGACCTGGCCTCCCCTTCATTCAAGGTGTTCTGGGTGTATAAACTGGCTCAAGCCTGAAAATTGATTGAGGAGCTGTGCTTCTCTGTCTTTATAATTTAAATTAGTGTTTTGTCCATACGACCTAGAAATTTTCTGCTTGTATAAATTAAGTAGGAATGCAGTAGGCTTTCTTTCAATTTCACTTCCAGGAACATAATTAATTAGCCAGTGCCAGAGCTCTCCACCAGTCAGACTATTCTGATTGCTGTTTTGCCTCTGCTGTCCATTACAGTAGCTACACTCACCATGCCTTTGATGGTTGAATGCAGCCACTTTGCTTCTGCCACCTTGGGATCCAATTATTCCCATTGTATTTAAATTTTTTAGTTGAGTGACTGTAGTTCTCACTGTTAGATCTGGCATACAGAGAAGAGCAATGACAGGGCTCTTCAAAGATACAGGTGCTGCCCTCACAAATCTATTTCACAAACATTGGTTAAGGGTATATCTTCTGGACCCTCTCAGCTGGGATGAGTAGGTCTAAAGTGACTAATATACTACACCATCCCAATCTCCCTAAGCCTTTGGATTCCCTTCCTCTACATTAAATCGAGAGACCAGGAATTTCCAGCTTGCTCACAGTAGGCCATCTTTTAATCTATATTTCAGCTAACCAAGCAAATAAACTATTAGAATCTTTTTTAACTCCCTGAGCTGCAACATTAAATGCAGAGTCCCTACTAAGTGGGCCCAAATCAATAAATTCAGCCTGATCTAACTGTATGTTCCTTCTACCCTTATCCCACACCCTTAATATGCATTCCCATGTCTATTCTCCAGATTTCTGTTGATATAAATTAGAAAACTCTATTGTAGCACACTGCTTCATGGGTCACACTCTCAACCTCACCTCTAGGGGCCTGCTGGGACTTTAGTCTAGTTATAGGTCTAGAAGCAAACAGAGGTGTTGGGGGCAGCTCCTGAGGAGAATCAACATTATCTTGCCTGACAACTGCCTCAGAGGAGACCATCACTGTTGCCTCAGATAGTGCAGAGGTTATCTCCTCAGACAAAGGTGGAAAGGCTGACTGCAACATGGGTCGGGGAGGGGATATTGCCACTACTGGGGATGGGGATGCTGTTTTTTTTTCTGGCTAAAATGTTTCATCAGAATTTATAAACTCAGTGTCCCCAGCTTCATCAGGGTCCTCCCACATGTCCCTATTCCAAGTTGCAGGGCCCCATTCTTTGCCAATCAGTGCTCTCACTTTAACAGTAGACACCTGGTGAGGCTGTGCATGTACCTTTCGTTGCAGGTCAGCAACTAGCATGACAAGAGCTTGTGTCTGTTTTTCCACAAAAGAGTAAGATAAGACTTTTACTCAGGGCAACCTTAGCAGATTTGAGGCTCAGTATCTGCTTCTGAAGCCAGGAGATAGAATCCCTGAGTTCATCATTTTCTTTCAACACTTTGTCCACTGAACTTAGGAGCAACCAACCAGCTTTGTTCCTTGGTTCTCCACATGTGGTCAAAGGTATTATGTATAGAGTCACTAAGCTCCTTGCCTGTCATGAGTGATGAATCAGGAGTGTCAAATGCATTTATTTTGCATAACTCTCTAAAGAGTTCATGCCAAGGACTTATCAATATTCTCCATACTATTAGAAGTAGAGTCATTAGCATTTTTGGTCTAATCATATTAAGTAGCCAACTCTAGAAACCCCAAACCAATGAAGGAATTCCATCCTTAATATTTTATTCCTGTAGAGCCACTCCTGGTACCAAAATCTGCATTAGGGTTCTCTAGAGGGACAGAACTAATGGAATATCTATTTATCTATCTATCTATCTATCTATCTATCTATCTATCTATCTATCTATACACACACACACACATGTGTATATATGTGTATACATATGTGTATATATAGTGAGCTAATATATATGATTATATATTATATATAGCTAGTATATATAATATATAATATATTGTGTGTATATATATATATAATAAGTTTATCAAGAATTGGCTTACACAATCACAAGTTCCTACAATAGGCTGCTTGCAGGCTGAAGAGCAAGGGAAGCCAGTCCAAGTTCTAAAACTGAAGGACTTGGAGTCCAATGTTTGAGGGCAGGAAGCATCCAGCATGGAAGAAAGATGTAGGCTGGGAGGCTACGCCAGTCTCTCTTTTCACATTTTTCTGCCTGCTTATATTCTAACTGCATTGGCAACTGATTCGATTGTACCCACTCAGATTAAGGGTGCATCTGCCTTTCCCAGCCCACTGACTCAAATGTTAATCTTCTTTGGCAACACCCTCACAGACACACCCAGGATTAATACTTTGCATCCTTCAATCCCCTCAGGTTGATACTCAGTATTAACCATCACAATAGTATATTAACACTTCTGAGAAATTCTTTGACCAAAAATTTCTTTATTCTAGTATTAACTATTAATTATGAAAATTCTGTTTCATAGAAAATACTTTGGTTAACATTGTTGGTAATTTGTCTTTTAGCTTGTATATTTTTGTTAATAATGGTAATGTATCTTTTGTTATTGCTATGTTTATTCACAAAATATTTTTTATATAAAAAGCTATTTTGTTCTCTAATTGTATTTTGGTTTCATTTTTTAATATTTTGCCTTCCAATTTATTTAATCAAATTTGTTATTTGTTGTCACACATAGTAGTAGTAATCGACTATGCCATTATCTTTTATATAGTTATCAATGATATCCTTATTGACTTAAATATCATTTTTACAGTATGCAATTTCAGTCTTCATTTATTAAGACTGAAATTTATTTATTATGCCTTTCTCTGATATTATTTAATAAATGATGACTTGAAAATAAATGTTTTTCACTCTGGAAAATTTTCCTTAAAGCTTTGTAAATTAATGTTTTTTTCTTAAAATATTATTGGAAAGAATATTGAAAGAAATTTGAAATATTGAAAGAATACTGAAATATTGAAAGAAGTCTTTGTGGAAAAATTAGATTTTTTTTTCTCCTGCTGAATACTTTATAATTCTTTTTTTCTCCATGAAATTAAGGCCTGCTAACTTCTTTTTAGATTCTTTTTTGTTATGTTGTTTTGAGATATGGTCTCACTTTGTTGCTCGGGCTGGAGTGCAGTGGCGCAATCATAGCCCACAGCAACCTCAAACTCCTGATCTCAAGTGATTTCTGCTGTCTCAGCCTCCCAAGGAGCTGGGACTACAAGCATGCAGCCTGTACTAGCCTGTACTAGACACCTGGCTAACTCACGCCTGTAATCCCAGCACTTTGGGAGGCCAAGGCGGGTGGATCACCTGAGGTCGGGAGTTTGAGACCAGCCTGACCAACATGGAGAAACCCCATCTCTACTAAAAATAAAAAAAATAAGCGGGTTGTGGTGGTGTGCACCTATAATCCCAGCTGCTTGGGAGGCTGAGGCAGGAGAATCGCTTGAACCCTGGAGGCAGTGAAACCTGAACCCGTTGCGGTGAGCCAAGATAATGCTAATGCACTCCAGCCTGGGCAACAACAGCGAAACTCCGTCTCAAAAAAAAAAAAAATTCTGTAGAGAAAACATCTCACTATGTTGTCCAGGTTGCTCTTTAACTCCTAGGCTTAAATGATCCTCCCACCTCAGCCTCCCAAAGTCCTGGAATTACGGGCGTCTTTTTAGATATTGACTTGAACTTTTCAATCTAAAAAATCTAGAAATCTTTTGCTTTTAATTTTTGTTTTCTTTTTTATTATAGTGCAAAAGTTTTTTTTTCTGTTATTACTTATGAATTCTTAATTGCTTTGAAAATATCTGTTTCATCTTTTCTACTCTTCCAAAACAGTAATTAACTATATTATGAATTTTTATTTTCTGTCCTTAATACCAGAGTCATTTCGGTGATCACTTTTCACTTAATTGTCTTCTTCCACATTTGAAAGTTGTCTCAAGCCTTTTATTCACATAACTTATTTGGTATAAGGTTTTTTAGCAATATTAATTCTACTGTTAATTTCATCTAATGCATATAAATATTCTGTAGTATACCTTTGTTTTAAAAACTGTCCTTTGAAATCTATTTTAGCTTTACATTTCTGCTTTGTCTCTCAGCTTCATTTGTAGCTAAGTGTTGTCTTATTTCATCTCTTGTTTTGTGGAAACACAAATGTGTGTGACATTTATTTTCTTTTTCTGAAAAAAATTATTTTCATGCATTTTATTCCTTGATTTATTTACTGTTATATTCTTCCTGACTCTACTGTAGCGTCTAGTACAGTATGTAGTAAAGAATTTGCCCTTGCCAAAAAAGAAAGTCTGGACTTCACCCTCAGCTTTTGGGGGGTAATTTCTGGACCTTTGGAATGTCATGCCTGATTGGAGTGTCTTTGGAGGCCATGGGTCATACTGCTTAGTCTAACAATGTGAGTTAGGACAGGGCCTAGCCAAACCCAGGTCTCAGGGCAGGGGCTGACAATGCTAGAAAGACTGACCATGTGATATAAGGTGCAGGTTCTGGGTCATGTGGTATGATTTGACCAGGAGACTGAGGTCAATCATATGTGCAGTCAATCAATCAACCATGCCCATGTCAGGAAGCCCCACTAAGAACTCTGGACATAAAAGCTAAGAGTGAGCTCCCTGATTGG
The DNA here is from genome assembly GCF_000001405.40 of Homo sapiens. NCBI lineage: Eukaryota > Metazoa > Chordata > Mammalia > Primates > Hominidae > Homo > Homo sapiens. The sequence goes on along the minus strand of NC_000005.10, from coordinate 86,452,488 downwards.
CAATACTCCATGTGTATTGTCACACATGGATTCCAGGAGGTTAATGTGTCCTGACTTAGAAAGAGGACAAGAGCAGCTCTGCATTTGATATTTCTTTTAGACTTTGCCCCATGTGCTTCTTCCCTTGGCTAATGTTAAACTATGTCCTTTTCAAGTAATAAACCATAGTCATCAGTATAATATCTTTCAATGAGTTTTGTGAGTCTATGAAAATTATTGATCCTGAGGGTAGGGATAGGAACCCTTTGAACTTTCAGTTGATGTCCAGATGTGAGGGCGATATTGGGGATTGTACCCTCCAACTTTATAGTTGGCCCAAACTCTTTATAGTATGTGTCCATATGCCCTGATATAATGTTTTATTAGTCAGTTAGAGAAAGTGTTAATCCAGTTCTGGAATTCCGATCAGAAACAAGATAGATCCTCCGCTAAATCTCCTTCTCTTCTTTTCGATTTTGAGCTCAATATTCTGCTTCTAATTCAGTGAAATGGTTATCAGAGATCAGAGGAAGGGTTCTGCAAACATACATTATTTCATTCCATCCTGTGCATGCATCTCTCTGTATGTGTGTGTATGTGTTGAAACCACCATGTCAGGTGCTGACACATATTGGATTAATCCTATTTTCTGCTATTTTTCAGATCAAGTTTGGTAAATGTTTATCTATTACTTCAGTTAATAAAAGCACAGAATAACCTTGGAGAAAACCATTCTTTCAGTTTACCTACTATACGCTGATATCTTGGTCTGTTTTTCTGTTGCTGTAACAGAACACTAGAAGCTGGGTAATGTATAAAGAAAGGAGAATTATTTGGATCATGATTCTGATAGCTGGGAAGTCCAAGAGCATGGTGCTGGCATCTGGCAAGGGCCTTCATGCTGAATAATAAAATGCTGAAAGTTCAACTGAGCTTGCAAGACAGGAAATTGGGAGAAACTCATCCTTTTTATCAAGAACCCACTTCCATCATAACAAACTGACTCCTGTGATAATGGCATTAATCGATTCATGAGGGTGGAGTCCTCATTACCTACTTGCCTTTTAAAGACCTCACCTCTTAATATTGTTAATTCAATAGCAATGAAATTTCAACATGAGTTTTGGAGGAGACATTCAAACTCTAGTAACTGCTATGATATGTTGGGACTCTCTGTGGTCTAAGTCTTTTGGCCCAGTTTCTCCAGGAAACTGTCCTGTACTGAGAATCAACACTGTAGAGACATCACATTTTCAGATACCTGAACTTGTAAGTCTGACTATAATTGCTGCTTTGAATATAAAGATTTGTAATGAAAGAGGAACTACAAATGAAACTTAAAAAAATTATTGTCTATTTCCTCCTCTAGTCCTCTTGTTTCTGAGCCCAATGGCTGTTTATGGGATGATAGCTGAGGATAATTAGAGATGCTGTTAAGTAGGTAAAATGAGGCTATGTTAATGAATAACCTAAATACTGAGCTTAGTATGTAAGATGGCAATAGTACCAAGTGTAAGTCAAGGAACCTATGCTCCAAAGACATGTTGCCACTTTTCTTTCTATCCTAGGTCAAGCTACTTAAGCTCTTTATAACTAGGTCTTTTTCATTTGTAAAAGAAGGTCAAAATGTGTATTTTCTGTAGTAAAGATAAAGTAGATTATACATATTGCGATGTTTTGAAAAATGTGGTGCAGTATATGGATGACAGAAGCTATTATTTGTTCACATATGAAAAGCCTAATTTCTGAACTTGGAAGTGTATAATAAAAATTACATTTTTAGAAGATGAATTTGGCACTTATGCAAGAATAAATGAAGTGGAAGCATAACCAGAGTGAATTAGGGTGGTACATTAAGTGATGGCTCAAAAAAGAGAAGATGGAGGCAATCCTAGAAATGAATCAACAGAACATGATAACTAATTGGATGTGAGGCAAAGGAAGAGAGCAGTCTTAGCTAATGTCAGAATTTAACTTCATGAGTCAGAAGGATGGTGGTATCATTCACAGGAACAATGAATTTTGAAAGGAAATCCAGAAAAGGCAAAAAAAAAAAAAAATGTAAAACAAAAAAGGAGAGGCAAAGAGAAAAAGGAAAATAAAAGATATATACTCATTTTCCCCAAATTGCTCACGTTTACATTTTTAAAGTACTAAGTAGCAAATAATTAGATCTATTATATATTCTCTAATTCATTTTATCTTCTCCTCTATCAAAAGGATTGCTTCAGTGCCTATATAACACTAAAAAGTGAGCCTTCTTTTCCTGCAGGAAATAAAAAAAAATCAGAACTGCTTTAAAAAGTCGCATTGAATGATTTCTATTGAGGTGTTTCATTTCAAACTAAAAGCAGTTTTTAAAACTCTAAATAACGGCAGATTAGATGTGCATGTTATAGGCATTCTTATCTCATGTTTTCTTTTCCATTTTGAAAGATCTGACTAAAAAGGCCACTTAAAATGTAAATTTTTTTTAAGAAATCAGTACATGAGAAATATTAGAAAAAAACCAAAAATGTGAGATCTTTGTCATCATGTATAAAGTGTTAGATATTTACTTTTAATTAAAATTACCCTTGTCTGAATTGTTTGTTATTCTCATCCGTTTCTGATGGTAGAGACTATGGTGAGAAAGAAATGTAACAGGGCCTACTTAAAAGGCAATAGGGAAAAAAATCACTTATTATTATAATGTAGTTTTACTCCTTGAAACCTGTAACCTCCATTACACTAATGGAATAATGAATAATGATAATACATTGAATATAAGTAGGCTCCTTTTGCTGCAAATAGAATGTTTCATCTTTTGTCTAAAGTACTACTAATAAAAGCATAATGACCTTTCAAGGTCTGAAAATGAATGTACAAGAAACTTGGGAAGCTAGTTTTCCATTAAATGCATTAGTGATAAGCTTGGTAGTTTTCTTAGTGTTCTCAGAAAGATCCAACCTCATTATCTCTCAAATGGTGATGCCAAAGTCAGCAGCAACTGAGTCTTAGCTTTTCACTGTAAAAGTTAGGGTGAAAAAATTGAAGGGCACAGAAATTTCTCCAAAATAGCTTGTTATTACATTTTAGAACTAAATAATTTATTAGAGTAGCCAGTAGATAATAAGCATGATCAATTCATATTTACTTTTATTCACATTTATATTATAGATATTTATATTTATATATAGTTATATAATATTTTGCACACACACATACATACACATATACACTCATATAAATTCTTAGGCCCTAATGAAATTATACTTGAACCATGGGTTTTGACATAATTGTCTTCCTCCTTCACCTCCTTGTAGAAACTTACTTTTTAGAGCATATAGCACTGGAATGTACTGGTTTACCTCTGAGCATATCACTTGTCTTTTTCATAGAACTGTTTTATTTTCCTACTCTTGTTGGAAGAATACAAAGTTTTTCTAATGTGTGTTCTTTCCTTTCTATACCTTGTCTCCTTCTCTGTCTCATCCACTCCCTCATCTTCAACAATTTCCTCTATTTAGATGAAATTCACCTATATCTGGAACACTTACTTCTGTCCTGAGGTTGTGTCCTGTATTTCCAGTTACTTGTTAGACATTTAAAACTGGATGACTTGACAAATTCCCCTGAAGCCAGCTTTTATTTCCAAATGGTCTATTAGCAGCACTAATATATTCTATACATGAGCCTTATTTTACTCTTTGCTATCTCCCCATATTGAATCAGTCCTCAATTGCATCAATTTTTTTGTTCAAATGTTACCAAACTTTTTCCATTTTTATCTTTCTTTATTGTCTTCATCTCCACTCAACTTTTGGCTGATATCATTTCTGAATATTCATTCATCCTCAACAAAATTTGATTATGGTTTTATGAAAAACAGAGAAATGAAAAAATTGCAAACTTTATCAACATACACCTTTTAATCTAGAAAGATGCAAAAGATATATCAAACAAAATGATTATAAAAGAAAGTATTTTTCATATCTTGAGTAAAAGATATTTTTCCAACAGATTTTTATTCTGTTAAGGACCATTTTAAAGGGTCCTTAAATAAAAATTGTCCTTATTATTTATTAAGTTATTTTTGGTGAACTTTTATTTATTCTACTTTTTTTCCTTTTTAGTTTTAATTTTTCTTTCTTCATTTCTAGACATTTTATCTACTAGAAAGATTATCTTTCTTTGTCTATAATGGATGTTACTAAAATTTTTTGTTGTTACTTGCCTTTTGACTTTACTCTTTTTTATTGTGACATAGTTTTTTTAAATGTACTTAAAATAATCTATCTTTTATTTTATGGATTCTCTAAATGAGTCCCCATGCTAAATTTATAAAGACATTTTGAGACATTTCTTCTGATCTTTGATGGCTTTTTTATGTTTAATTTTAATGATATTTTTGGTTTATTTTGTTATAAGTTTGATTTATGGATGGAATTTTATTTTTCTCCACGTAACTCCTCCTAATATTCCCACATATATTTACTTCAAAATATCTTAATTATTTTTATTAGAATGCTGCCTTTATCTTACTGAAATCCCATTTAGTGTTCATTGTTGAACCTTCCAATTTTTTTCAATGATCTGTTTAACTTTTCATGTATAAGTAGCACACTGCTTCAAGTGAGTCTAAGTTTTTGAAATAATGACTCTTTAGTCATATATATTACATTTTACATACAAATGCAATACTGTAAATAGTATTCTCTTTATTTCGAATTAAAAGGGGGAACTACTTTCACAATATCTACGAGAAATTTTTCCCTAATCTTTGCAGCAGTTATAAAATTTTGCCCTTTGTCATTGTGATCTGTAGTGTCCTCAGTCTCCCAATATAAACTTACCATTTTGATTGAATTTCAGTAGCTTGCTCAAATTCAGACATCTTTTATGGTGAGGCCCTTGGCAAGGAGAATGACAGGCTTTGATATAATACTAGATGTGTTTTCCTGAGGCTGTCACCTGGCTATGGGACATTTAATGGCTGAATGACAGAAAGGCAGAACATTACTTACAAGGCAGGCATAATTTTGCAGACTGCCACCTATCTATCAGTTATAGAAGTCAATAGAAATGTCTTAAGAACAGTCAACTAGAATTTCTTTATAATACTTTGAAAATAAAAGAATTATTTTGATTATTTAAAGCGAGTTTTGTTAATAACAACTGGATCATTTTTTCTCATTTTACTTTTGATCTCACTCTGAAAATTATATATAGTATTTTCATCTCAAGAACATCCTTATTGCCATTGACTGAGTAGCAAATGTTAAGTCATTTGTTATTATAATATTCGATATTATAATTTAAGTTAAAATTAACAAGTATAGGCTTTGTTAATACAATAAAGATAATCCCATTTCTCTTTTCCACTCTTTCATCTAGTAACATGTATTGGTGAGGTCACAATGTCCAAGGATATGTGATAGATAAATTAGGGGAACAGAACATATTCAAGTATATCTCTGATATTTTTTCTGGTTACAACATAAATAGGTGTACGAAAAGTTAGCTAAAAGCAAAAGGCTGCCCAGGTGGAAGGGAAAACGAGTAGTATAGAAAATAAGTGCAGTATGAATTCAAATGAGGGATATGACTGTGGGCAGAGGGTAGCAATCACTTGAGGCTCTTCAAGGAGATAGACTTTGAGGCTGACACTCAAAAACACACAGTGTTCAATAAATCAGAGGAGATGAGAAGTTGAAAAGGATAAAGTGATTGGGTTTGTGAGGAGATTGGCTCACTACAACCTCCACCTCCCGGGTTCAAGCAATTCTCTGCCTCAGCCTCCTGAGTAGAGACGGGGTTTCGCCCTGTTGGTCGGGCTGGTCTTGAACTCCTTACCTCGTGATCCACCCGTCTTGGCCTCCCAAAGTGCTGGGATTACAGGCATGAGCCACCTCGCCTGGCCTATTGTCTTATTTTAAGAAATTGCCATAGCCACCTCGACCTTCAGCAATCACTACCCTGATCAGTCAGCAGCCATCCACATGGAGGCCAGACCTTCCACCAGCAAAAAGAATATGACTTGCTGAAGGCTCAGATGATCATTAGCAGTTTGTAGCAATAAAATATTTTAAAATTAAGGTATGTACATTTGTTTTAGGCATAATGCAATTGCACACTTAATAGTTATAGAGTAAACATAACATTTATATGCATTGGGAAACCAAAAAACTGGGACTCACTTTATTGCAGTATTTGCTTTATTGTGGTGGTCTGGAACTAAACCTGTAATTTCTCTGAGGTATGCAGTATTTTCTCATGATTAAACATGATACATATAAAAAAAAAACAGAAAAAACTGACAATACCTGTATTGCCAAAAACATGACAGAAGGATAACATCCTCTAATTCTGCCTAATTCCAAAGTGAAGAGTGATTAAGTGAAGTATAAAATTTTCTTCTTATTCTGGCAAGCCTACAGAGGAAGAAGAAAATAATTTAAGCTCGACTCTATATAATGCTGTTACTTCTTCAATGGCAGGCAAAGGGCATTTCAGAGTAAGTGATGATTAGTAAATATTTTTCTCATTTTAGGTTTTATTGATCTATCTTAAAAATTTATATTTTGCTTATAACATGAGGAAATGCTGAATCCAACAGACGGTAGCAGCAAATAAAAAGTCATGTTTTCAATTAAAACTATAGAGGAGACTGAGACAGGAGATCCTATCTAAAGGAACCATACCTCTCAGCATTTGCCCCCTTCACAATATTTACCTTGTTCTTATGCCCAAGCTTTGAGTGGCCAATAACGTGACTTAGATTGAGGAAATTAACAAAGGAAAGAAGAGGAAGGACCTAGGCAGCAAAACCATTTTCTATGGGAGGTGTTCATAAACAGATGAATTGAAAATTACACAGAGAAAGTTGCCAAAGGTTTGCTTTTCAGGGTACTGCAGACCCTACAGAAGAAATCCAAGTAGTGGGAATGTATGAAGAAGAGTAAAAAGATTTAAAGGGAAAATATGTAAAGGGCTTAATTTCCTAAGTAACTGCTTTTAGATTGAGAAAAGCTTTCTTTGAAAAGCAGCTTTAATTTTTCCCCTATTACACTTTAGTGGCTTTTAAAATTCCCCTTTGTCTTTGCTAAAGTAATTCCTACATAACTGTAACTCTTGAGAATATTGCTTTCATGGAGAATGAAGAAAGATTTTTTTTTTTTTAAAGAACAGTCTCATCTCTATATTTTTATTCCTAACTGGAGTCAGGAAGCTGTATTTAATTCAGGGGATTGTTTCCTGTAGTTCCAAGCATGAGCTAATGATCCATCACAGACTACAGAAGTATAGCCTCTTAACACAGTTCTAAGCTTTGTTGAAGAACATGTGAAGTTGAGGGCCACTTTCTGAGTGTGGAAGCAAGTTCCCTGAAGAGGAAGGCTCTGAATTAAAATACTTAATAGTAGATGATACTATAATCTGGCAATAGAGAAGGTAATCATCAAAAGCAAGCATGCACACAGAGCTCAATTTATACAGATTTAGCGCTTCCATGTGGAGAGCATTTCTTTTATTCTTATTTGTATAAATTTAAGAAGCACAAGTGCAATTTTGAGCTATATTGTGTAGTGGTGAAATCTGGGCTTCAGAGAAAGACTGTGTGTGTGTTTATCCATGTGTAACGCTACCAAAACACAAGTCGTGTATAATGGGGGCCCATAGAGTCCGAAAAGAGGGATATGGGAATTTAGAATATGTTATTTTATAGAAAAATTTCCTTTGGAGAAGTATGGCACAAAACAGTAGAGATGAAAGAAGTACCACATTAGATTCTTTATTGTCTTATAAAGGGTTTTATACATAATTCCCCTGGAGTACTATCCTACTTTCTTGAGGGCTGTGCCTGCACTTGAGACATTTTACAAGAAAGAAAAATCATGACATAAAAATGGATCTTTTTTTTCTTGCTTAAGATGGTGGAGAGTAAGTTCAAATGCGTGTCCAATAAACCCACCATCAATTTTATCCCTGGGAAGTATTTGGAAGGTAGCCAAATGGTAAGCCACTAGAAAGTGTATGAAGAGACTGAAGTTAGATGGTCAGGTTCATGGCTATATTCTTGGAGTAACCAACTTTGCTTTCTTTCCTCAGGGAGACAAACAGTCACCAATCCTCCATAGTCACTCATTTATTGGGTTAGATACTTTTCAATATTTGTATTCCCTATATGAATATATTCTCCTATAAAAGATTTTGATTGTGAATTATTATGTAATGTGTTCTATGATTGTTAATTTGATTGGATTTGTCAGTAAGAAAGTTTCATCTAAACCTAATGAAGATAGAATTATTGTGTGCAGACTAAAGGGGCAGTAGATCTAGAATGTGGAATTTATAAATCATGAGGCCAAGAATTACTCCACTGGATGCACAACCCAGTTTTAGATGTTTAGACATGAGCTTCAATTAATCATGATCTTTACTTTGATGTATGATATGAGGGTAGAAAATGGACTCTGTTTTTCCAAAGCAGATAAGCTAGAAGATAAATGTTCAGAGGCTTATCACTTGATTATAGTTGTAGTTTACAATAATGTGTCTAGACACATATAGCTTCATCTAACTTAAGTAACGTCTTAGGATCTTCAAGCTCCTGTTACAGGACTCAGACTTTCTCGATAAATGCACAAATGCTGTATGTGTCTGGAATTAAATAGAAGAGATCTGTTCAGATTCCATAAACTCATTCAAATAAGAAGTGGAGAGCTGGAGGTGAGGACAATCTATAGCTATCAGAATGAAGCCTGGCATTAAGAGCAGTGTCTCTCTTTATTGTTTGAATTCATTCATACATTTCTTCACCAGATGGGAAACATGGCTGCAAGAAACAGAGAGCTGGTGAACATTTGTGCTTCTCCAATGCTGATTCATTCAGGGCTCTCTTACTGTCCTTTGGGCACTAGCATCAGTAGGAAGACTACTTTATTTTATGCCATTTTAGTTTAAAAACCCTTTTAATGCCCTTACTATGTGCCAGACATTATTATAATTTCTTTGCAAATAACTTCTTGGTGGTTCTCGTCATGCCAAAGGCTTTATCGACTGTGAAGGATACAGAGCTCAATTTATGCAGGAGATTTAGTACTTCCACGTGGTAAACATTTTGTTTTCTTTAAATTTGTATAAATTTAAGGGTTACAAACACAATTTGTTACATGGCTTTATTGCATAGTGGCAAAATCTGGGCTTGTAGCGCATCTATCACCCAAATAATGTATGCTGTACCCATTAAATACTTTCTCATTATCCAATCTCCTCCCTCCCTCATGTGGTTAAAATTTCTAATATTTTAACTGTTTAAAAACGTGGATCCCTTCCTAGAGTTTGAGGAACTCATCACCTTTTGGTTCTGATAGGAGGCTGAAATAGAAAATTGTTAGACACTTGCTTTCCCAGCTTCCCTTCAGTGGAATTGCAGATATTTCCTTGGATCCACCAATAAAATGGACCACCCCAGAGTGTGACTCAGGAGCTGGTAAAAGTAACAAGAGAAAACTAGAAAGTTCCTCCTAATGGTAAGAGTAAGCAAAAAGATTATTGAATCTCTGGGGCAAAAGTGGAAGCAGTGACATTTGTAGCACCCGCTGCAAGGCGGCAGCAATACTGCTTGTAACAATGCAAGCATATTGGAAGTGGCTGGGTGGCAGCAGTCCTATGACATCATTTTAAGCATCCTCTTAAATTGCCTCTGCCTAGATCTCCAGTTCTCCTGTGGTTCTATGAGCTACCGATATCATTTTCATTCATTCCTTTTCTACTGAAATCAACCCAGATCTGCTTCTGTGGCTTGAAACTAAAATATCTGACTGAAGCACACCAAATATTAGACATGGGCAGTCAACATTTTCCATTTATTATGTAAATATGTAGGCTTATGATAACTCTTCTTTCTTCATAGGACGAAGAGTCAGGCATAAAAACTGCAAATTGAAATGATATATTGTTCTCCAAGGCCTAATACTTTCAAGGCACTTATAAATAACGACTTCAGAGTGTACAGCATTTGAAAGGAACATTTTGAAAATGTGTTTAGCCAAATGCTATTTCTCCAAGAAAGAAGGTTTGAAAAAGGAACATTTTGTAATTTAATAGTTTTGAAAAATGGAGCAAATCATATCCTCTTCTTAGTACTTTGGTACACTTTGGATTCTAAGAAATTCCACATAAAAGAAACCATTTCATTTTTGGCTAGATATTTCCAAATATATTGGATGCTGCAAACATTTTCACATAAAACTTCTTAGTATTCCTCAGAGCCAATGTTCTGTGGAACATTCTGGGAAGACATAGAAATGTCTACTTAGTTATTCAGTATCCACTGAGGATAAAATGTGTTGCTATGCTTGATTAATGTGAGAATTTCAAAACAACTAGTTTTATTTTTCCTTTTAAAAGTTTCATAGAAATTTAAAGAGTTATAGAACCTCTTGATTATTACACTTGGAAGATTAGCATGGCATAGTGTTTATACAAATAGACTCAAGAGCCAGACCCCCTGGGCTCAATTTCTGGTTCTTTTCCCATATTAGATATGTGGTCTCAGGCAAGTTACTCAGCTTTCCCATGCTTCAGATTCCTCACACTGAGGATAACATTTTACAAGAATTAAATGAGTAAACTTTTGTATTAAAATTATTTGTTTTCAATATTTTATTTATAATCTTGTGTTTAATTTATATTTTCCTTTTGTTAATTGTGTTAGCTAGAAAGAGATTTCTAATAGGATTATGGTTAGTGAAAAGAGAGCTATTTATTATGAAGATGAAACAAAAGATACAGTTAGCGAAATGCTAAAAAGATTTTTGTAATAGTTTTATGTTTTACAAGAAGTGTTCATCAAAATGTTATGAATTTGTCTTCAGGAAATGGTCCGTGTTCATGTGATAACTTTCAACACCTTTAAAATACATGAGTATGAAAAGAAAGTGATAAAAAGAAAAAGTCTCTCTCTCTCTCTCTCACACACACACACACACACACACACACACACACAGCTCATTCTGTAAGCATCCTTATGTGATTTTTAGTTAAGTGTTGGGGTAAATAAAAACTTGTGACCCAAAATAAAATGAATGAGCTAATACTTTCTTCAGATTTGGTATTCTCTGTAGGAAATGTCTTAAGGGAGAAGGGAAAGTTCTTGAGAATTGAAACACCCACATATAAAGGGTCAAACAATTATTTTATTATATTAAATTAACTAGTTTATATAATTTATAATTTCTTTTCCATCACTCCCTAGTTGTAATAGACAGTATATGAATTCTGCCAAAATCCCTTGTATATACCCCTTCCACTAAGTGCAAGTGAAAACTGTGACTAACTTCTAACCAATAGATTAGGGCAGGTTAAAAGTAGTTTACAGATATAATTAAGGTTCCTACTGAGTTGCCTTTGAGTTAATCAAAATGGTGATTTTTCTTCATGGACCTGACCTAGTCAGTTGGGCCCTTAAAAGAGAAACCGGGTCCCTCCTGAAGAGAAATTCTCCTGGTGTATTTGAAAAAGTAGCTGCCATGGTTTGAGAGGGCTTTGTGGGTAGTTCCTGAGGGTGACTGTTGGAGATTAGAGTGACTACTAGCTAGCAGCCAGGAAGAAACCAGGGACTTCAGTTCTGTAACCACAAGGTAGTGAATTCTGCCAACAGCATGCATGAATTTGGATGAGAACTCCAAGTAAAAACTAGATGAGAACGTAGACCTGGCTGATACCTTGATTTTAGGCTAGCAAGACCCTTTAACAGACAACCCAGCTAGATGATGCCTGGACAACTGACTCCTGTGTGATGGCTAATATTAGGTGTCAACTTGATTGGATTGAAGGATGCCCAGATAGCTGGTAAAGTATTGTTTCTGGGTGTGAGGGTGTTGCCAGAGAAGATTGACATTTGAGTCAGTGGACTGGGAGAGGACGACTCACCCTCAATGTGGGTGCGCACCATCCAATTGGCTGCCAGCGAGGCTAGAACAAAGTAGGTGAAAGAAGGTGGGATCAGCTTGCTGAGTCTTCTCGCTTTCATCTTTCTCCCATGCTAGATGATTCCTTCTGTCCTCCTGCCCTTGGACATCAGACTCCAGGTTCTTTGGCTTTTGGACTCTTGGACTTACATCAGTGGTTTGCTGGGAGCTCTCAGGCCTTCAGGCACAGACTGAAGGCTGCACTGTCAGCTTCCCTGCTTTGAAGGCTTTTGGACTTGGACTGAGTCACTACTGGCTTCTTTCTCCCTCATCTTGCAGACGGCTTATCATGGGACTTTACCTTGTGACTGTGTAAGCCAATTCTTCTTAATAAATTCCCTTTTATATATACACGTATATCCTATTAGTTGTGTCCCTCTGGAGAACCCTGAGTAATACACCCCAGCAATAGCAAGTTATTAAATAAATTTTGTTTTAAGCCTTTAAAAGTATTTTTTGTTTGTTTTAGCAGCTATAGAAAACTAATACAACAGCGTTCCAATTGCTCGTTTTAGTGTCTTGCCAAGTTCAGAACACTATGGTTAAAACAATTGATTAATCCAAATAAAATTATAAAAGCATAATGTCCTGCCAAATAGCACTGTGACTTCTAGCTGGAGAGATTTTTATGAATGCCAAATGTTGCTGTAACTTGATGTTACTGTTCTATAGAATTTGAGTTCCATGAACATTCTTCAATAAGACAGGGATATTTCATTTCTTCTGGAGGTGGCTCAGAGCCAAACTGGAGCATTTATAGATTCTGGGAGCAGCAGCAATGAGAGTTTAGTTAGAAAAATGTTTCCACAGTGTTATTTAGACTTGACATTCTATACCCACATTTGGTGTTTGGCATGAGCCTTATACACAGTGGCCTAAAACATTGTGGTAGTAATAAGCACAGCCAGCCAAACTCTGGAACCAGCCTGTGTGATCAAATCTAGGCTCTGCCTTTAACTAGATCTGTGTTTCAGTCTCTTTATCTGTGAAATGGAAATTAATAATACCTACATCAGGGGGTTCTTATAGTAAAAGTGATAATATGGGTAAACCCCTTAGAACAGTGCCTACGTAAATATTAGTCTGCATAATTATGTCACTTGATTTGTATGTTTACAATTCTGACACCATTAATTCACTGCAAGGAGGACAGTCGTGTATATCTCTATGATACATGTTATCAAGTTGCTGTAATCTCTCACATCTCTCGTTTCAATTCCCTTTGCGATCAAATTATGTGAATTTTCAGAAGATGGCTGTGGATGTCTATTTCTACAATTTAGGATAGAAGCAAAGTAAATATAACAAAGACTGAATTTACCAAAAAATATGAATGGTATTTTATGGGAAGTGGCGTTATTATAATGCATAATATCAGAACATAAAATTGTTTTCTTCCTAATTTATGTTTATTTATGTAGCACTGGTAATCTTTTCAGGTCCTAATGGTAATTAGTATAGCTACAATCTTTCTTTCTGGCCAGAAAGAAAGTTAATGAAAGTACATAATAGTCTGAAGAGCGGGTGTGGAAAGACTTTTATCTATTTAATGGAAGGATTAATGTGAAAAAATTAAACTATCCTCAAACAATTATGCTGCTAATTAATATTTCAGCTTTCACAGATATTAGACAGGAGTTTATGAAGGAGGAAAAGTCATTCCAGTTTTAACCTAGCTACTTTGATATACTACTGCAAAGAAACCTTCCTATGTTCTGATCTTTAAATGTGTCACTTTTCATTGAAAAAATGCAGAAGCAGAATCCCCTAGTAACATGTCAACTGTGCACCTGATGACTTTTCAAATAATGTACAGGACATGCATAAAACTGTTAAGCAAATAATGAATTTTGTGCAAGGCATGCTCCCAGGTGTTATTTTGCAAATATAGCTTGTCTTGTACTGTTATGTCAGGTGAACCTAAAAACAGAGGGTAAAATTGCTATCAAGAGTAAATGATTGGAATCCAATTTTTCTGTTAACTGAACTGAACCCATATGCACACTGTAATATTCCCCAGGTTTGATAGGCATATTCTATTAGCAATTTCTACTCACCACATACTGTAATTTGGTGTTTAATTATTTGCATGAAATAAATCATCAGTTGAAACTTACTATATTAAAAAACATAAAAATAAGCCCTTTTTTTACACACACCAGTGCCTTGAAAAACTGGCTTGCCAAATTCAAAATGGCAAAATTAATAAAATGAGTAGCTAAGCATTTTATTTGCAATTGTATCTTTGCATTTATTTTTAGAGCATAATCAAGAGAAATATATTTATTGATTCCTAAAGGAAATGTTTACTTTCCTTTATCTGGTAATTACAGAAACAAATTGCCTGGTCACATTTGAAATAAATGAATCAAATTTGAGTCAATGTGTTATAGATAACTAAAGTTACATGATTGCAATTTATTCACAGAGTGTTTTTTTAAAAAAATCATTGAAGTGACTGGAAAAAATGTACTTAATTGAAATGTTAAAAAATGGAGAAGAGTCTCAGCATGAAGTGCTGAAGGCTTCTGGTGATTTGATATTTGTCTATGAAAAGCTTATCTCCACTGAAGAAAAGGCAAAGAGGGTGAGCTCCTTGAGAGACTTGTTTATACAGAGGAAGGATTTTATTATACTTTATTGTATGTACATGGCATAAGTTCTAAAACATTAGAAGAACTATTCTGCTGTAGATCTCGAAGCATCTTTCTTTGGGGTAGTTTAAAAGTAGGAAAACTGTTCCTCTTCTTAAGGGTGCAACATGGTTTTAATAGAATTTGAAAGGAGATGCCTGGGTTTTCAAGGTTTCTTTCATGGATAAGATTTAAAGAAATAATTTCCATCTTAGGTCAGAAATGCAGTATGCTTTCATTTCTTTGCTCAAAAGATTTCCCTCAGGAAACACAAACCTGGAAGTACAATCCATGGCTCCCTGGGGGTAAATGAACTATTTTGCTTATTCTTATTGCTGATTTTTAGAAATACATCTCATGTACAAGCCTACTTCTAGCTTATAGAGGGCAGGTAATTCATGAAAAAGGGAAGGAAGCATGAGGTATTGCTCTCCCCTTCATGCTCACCCACCTCCTGCCATTCCTTCAGGTCCCCATTGCACCTCACTAATGCACAATGTGCAGAGCTGGTCTGGCCTCGCCTCTGTAGATTGGTAATTCCATTTATTCCAAAAGGAAGTGATTCCTCTCTTGCACATTTTCTTTTTCTCTTCTGTCTCTATGTCTCTCATTATTTTCCTTCTTTTTCACTTGAATTTATTGAAATATAATTCAAAATAAAATTGTATATATTTTAAGTGTGCGAGGTGACTTCATATATGTATAACAGCACTCATAGATACCTTTTTTTAACAGAACAGTTCAGGTTTATTAGCAAATTTCAAATACACAATACACCATTAGTAACAATGCTCACCATGCTCTACATTAGATCCTCAGAGCTTATTTGTTTTATAACTAAACGTTTGTGCCCTTTAGACAACATC
The DNA here is from genome assembly GCF_000001405.40 of Homo sapiens. Taxonomy (NCBI): domain Eukaryota; kingdom Metazoa; phylum Chordata; class Mammalia; order Primates; family Hominidae; genus Homo; species Homo sapiens. Next base: position 86,437,056 of record NC_000005.10, on the reverse strand, counting down.
TCCCCATTTCCTGCACCTTCCAATCTCTCATTCTTTCTCTGTCTTTTAGGAGCCACAAAACTCAACTACTTTCACTAGATGGGGTTACAGTTGAGGAGTGGTGTTGGAAAATTTGCTGTTGAAAGCTTTTCTATAGTGCTAACTTGTTCCAGTTCCAAGGAATCCACTCATTTCTCTCTTCCTGAGAGAATTGAGATCTCTACATATGACACTGGGTCATTTCCCTTTAAACTGATAAAAATTTAAATTTGATATTCTGTGCCTTCAGAGCCTCTAGCTCTGCCTGTCCCAAGCACAAAATTGTTTTCTTATCCTTCTTTCTTATTCTCATTTATGTCTGTGGATTTTTCCCCAAATAACAAAAACTTACATACTTTTCTTTTTTTATTATTATTATTATACTTTAAGTTTTAGGGTACATGTGCACCATGTGCAGGTTAGTTACATATGTATACATGTGACATGCTGGTGCGCTGCACCCACTAACTCGTCATCTAGCATTAGGTATATCTCCCAATGCTATCCCTCCCCCTTCCCCCCACCCCACAACAGTCCCCAGAGTGTGATGTTCCCCTTCCTGTCTCCATGTGTTATCATTGTTCAATTCCCACCTATGAGTGAGAATATGCGGTGTTTGGTTTTTTGTTCTTGCAATAGTTTACTGAGAATGATGATTTCCAATTTCATCCATGTCCCTACAAAGGACATGAACTCATCATTTTTTATGGCTGCATAGTATTCCATGGTGTATATGTGCCACATTTTCTTAATCCAGTCTATCATTGTTGGACATTTGGGTTGGTTCCAAGTCTTTGCTATTGTTAATAGTGCCGCAATAAACATACGTGTGCATGTGTCTTTATAGCAGCATGATTTATAGTCCTTTGGGTATATACCCAGTAATAGGATGGCTGAGTCAAACGGTATTTCTAGTTCTAGATCCCTGAGGAATTGCCACACTGTCTTCCACAATGGTTGAACTAGTTTACAGTCCCACCAACAGTGTAAAAGTGTTCCTATTTCTCCACATCCTCTCCAGCACCTGTTGTTTCCTGACTTTTGAATGATTGCTATTCTAACTGGTGTGAGATGGTATCTCATTGTGGTTTTGATTTGCATTTCTCTGATGGCCAGTGATGGTGAGCATTTTTTCATGTGTTTTTTGGCTGCATAAATGTCTTCTTTTGAGAAGTGTCTGTTCATGTCCTTCGCCCACTTTTTGATGGGGTTGTTTGTTTTTTTCTTGTAAATTTGTTTGAGTTCATTGTAGAGTCTGGATATTAGCCCTTTGTCAGATGAGTAGATTGCAAAAATTTTCTCCCATTCTATAGGTTGCCTGCTCACTCTGATGGTAGTTTCTTTTGCTGTGCAGAAGCTCTTTAGTTTAATTAGATCCCATTTGTCAATTTTGGCTTTTGTTGCCATTGATTTTGGTGTTTTAGACATGAAGTCCTTGCCCATGCCTATGTCCTGAATGGTAATGCCTAGGTTTTCTTCTAGGGTTTTTATGGTTTTAGGTCTAACATGTAAGTCTTTAATCCATCTTGAATTTATTTTTGTATAAGGTGTAAGGAAGGGATCCAGTTTCAGCTTTCTACATATGGCTAGCCAGTTTTCCCAGCACCATTTATTAAATAGGGAATCCTTTCCCCATTGCTTGTTTTTCTCAGGCTTGTCAAAGATCAGATAGTTGTAGATATGCGGCGTTATTTCTGAGGGCTCTTCTCTGTTCCATTGATCTATATCTCTGTTTTGGTACCAGTACCCTGCTGTTTTGGTTACTGTAGCCTTGTAGTATAGTTTGAAGTCAGGTAGCATGATGCCTCCAGCTTTGTTCTTTTGGCTTAGGATTGTCTTGGCGATGCGGGCTCTTTTTTGGTTCCATATGAACTTTAAAGTAGTTTTTTCCAATTCTGTGAAGAAAGTCATTGGTAGCTTGATGGGGATGGCATTGAATCTATAAATTACCTTGGGCAGTATGGCCATTTTCACGATATTGATTCTTCCTACCCATGAGCATGGAATGTTCTTCCAAAAAACCCTTCAAAAAATTAATGAATCCAGGAGCTGGTTTTTTGAAAGGATCAACAAAATTGATAGACTGCTAGCAAAACTAATAAAGAAAAAAAGAAAGAAGAATCAAATAGACGCAATAAAAAATTATAAAGGGGATATCACCACTGATCCCACAGAAATACTAACTACCATCAGAGAATACTACAAACACCTCTATGCAAATAAACTAGAAAATCTAGAAGAAATGGATAAATTCCTCGACACATACACTCTCCCAAGACTAAACCAGGAAGAAGTTGAATCTCTGAATAGACCAATAACAGGAGCTGAAATTGTGGCAATAATCAATAGCTTGCCAACAAAAAAAAGAGTCCAGGGCCAGAAGGATTCACAGCCGAATTCTACCAGAGGTACAAGGAGGAACTGGTACCATTCCTTCTGAAACTATTCCAATAAATATAAAAAGAGAGAATCCTCCCTAACTCATTTTATGAAGCCAGCATCATCCTGATACCAAAGCCTGGCAGAGACACAACCAAAATAGAGAATTTTAGACCAATATCCTTGATGAACATTGATGCAAAAATCCTCAATAAAATACTGGCAAACCGAATCCAGCAGCGCATCAAAAAGCTTATCCACCATGATCAAGTGGGCTTCATCCCTGGGATGCAAGGCTGGTTCAATATACGCAAATCAATAAATGTAATCCAGCATATAAACAGAACCACAGACAAAAACCACATGATTATCTCAATAGATGCAGAAAAGGCCTTTGACAAAATTCAACAACGCTTCATGCTAAAAACTCTCAATAAATTAGGTACTGATGGGATGTATCTCAAAATAATAAGAGCTATCTATGACAAACCCACAGCCAATATCATACTGAATGGGCAAAAACTGGAAGCATTCCCTTTGAAAACTGGCACAAGACAGGGATGCCCTCTCTCACCACTCCTGTTCAACATAGTGTTGGAAGTTCTGGCCAGGGCGTTTAGGCAGGAGAAGGAAATAAAGGATATTCAATTAGGAAAAGAGGAAGTCAAATTGTCCCTGTTTGCAGACGACATGATTGTATATCTAGAAAACCCCATTGTCTCAGCCCAAAATCTCCTTAAGCTGATAAGCAACTTCAGCAAAGTCTCAGGATACAAAATCAATGTACAAAAATCACAAGCATTCTTATACACCAATAACAGACAAACAGAGAGCCAAATCATGAGTGAACTCCCATTCACAATTGCTTCAAAGAGAATAAAATACCTAGGAATCCACCTTACAAGGGACCTGAAGGACCTCCTCAAGGAGAACTACAAACCACTGCTCAATGAAATTGAAGAGGATACAAACAAAAACTTACATACTTTTCTTAAAGGGATGATATATTGTCTTTAAAATGAAGCACCAGCTTGTTTACTAAATTACTTTACTTGTTTACTAAATTAATTTAATTTCAGCAAATTAATGATAAGGTATTTTGTGTCAAATTAAAATTTCCAGGAAATAGGGTCTTATAAGGCCATTACTGTCTACATCACCTTAGTTTTAGTCAAGTGTTCATGAAAGTGGTGAGCACTGATCAAAGGGCACAAAATATCTACGTAAAGAAATCTATTTTAAATCCATAGATTTCATTATAAAAAGGGGCACCTTATTTCCAGTTTAGGGAATTCCTATTGAGTGATCTGCATATGTACCAGTAAAACGCAAACCATTATTTAAATTTTTTCACAACTTTGGAAACTTTGCATTGTAAAACTTACAGAATATGATTACCAATTTTTATATTTTTTTTGTACAGAGTAGATTAGCTTAATAAATTGAACGCTAATGAAAAAAATTATGATTCTAGGCTAATTCCAAATTGAACTAGACAGTTTTTCTCTTTTATGTTTTGTAATTTTTTTTATATATTCTGATCTTTCATCAATTGTTCCTTTTGTATAATCTAAGCTTAAAAATGAAACTGGTGATTACTATATTAAAATGCATTAACTTTATAAATTGCTCTTCTTTTGTATTACCAATACTTTGGCTGTGCTGCAGGTGCATAAAGTATTTTATCTCAGTAAATCCTTTGGACCTTAAGGATAAGATCTTCCTGCTCCTGTTGATACAAACAAAGGACGTACTTTAGAAAGAAGTGACGTCCAGTAGAATTTTCTTCAATAATGGACATGGTATATATCTGTACTCTTCAGAACAGTAGCTACTAGCTGTATAGAGTTATTGAGCATTTGCAATGTGGCTGAGGGACCAAATATTTAATTTTAAGTAACTTAATTATATAGACACATAGTGGATATCATATTGAAAAATACAGTCTAAAACTTAATAAGTTGCCAAATACCTCTGAGCTTCAGTTTTCTTATTTGCAAAATGAAAATACTCACCCATGACTCTGTCACAGAAGTGTTTCAAAAATCAAATGAAAAGAGAAAAGTGTTCAAGCATATTTAGGAAGGGCCATGGATGGACTCTGGAACTGTACAGCTTAACTGTGAGTCTTGACTCTACTCCTTTCTAACTGTTATATATGCTTGAGCAAGATATGACAAGTATCTGTAAAATGAGAATAATAATAGTATCTAACTCACTGATTTTTGTGGTGATTAAATGAGATAACATATGCAAAGTCTTTTGAACAGTACCTAATATGAAATTGAGCCCTAGATAAATAGACATTATTATTCTTGTTATTAACAATGCAAACATGTAGAAAGCATGCTCTAATGTTTAGAGAAAGCTCAATTATCTCATCCTTTATTCAGTTTCCAAAATAGAAGAACTTGGCTAGGATTCAAGAACAAAATTTCATTCATAAGATTTTGTGGTGAATGAATCTTTGGTAGGATTGCAAAAGAATTAAATATCTTTGAATTTTCCCTCTTTGTTTTTACTGTTCTATGTGGCAGTTGTGTAAATTGGGTTTGAAAATAAAAATTCCATGTAGGGAAGCCTGCCTTTGCTTAAGAAGAAGAGGAGAAAAGAAGATATTGAATATTTCTGTATTATAATAAAATTGACAAGGGAAGAAATAACAAAAAAATGGAGGCTGATACTCTAGTAGCAACACAGTATGTATTAACCTTGTGTTGGGTGTCTAGCTATGACTTAGACATGGAATTCTGAGATCTCAAGTCCTGGCATTTTCTATTGCCTGTATTTTCCTTCAGAGGCATGACCAATAACACCAGGAGTACACAGGGTATTTTTTTTTTTTTTTGACAGGGTCTTGCCTTGCCATCCAGGCTGGAGTGCAGTGGCATGAATTTAAGGTTATATAGCTCATTGTAACCTCAAATTCCTGGGCTCAAGCAATCATTCAAACTCAGCCTCTCAAGTAGCTAGGACAACAGGCATGTGCCACCACACCTGGCTAATTTTTAACATTTTTTTGTAAAGATAGGAGTATTGCTATGTTGCCCAGGCTGGTCTTGAACTCCTGGCCTCAAAACACTCCTGCTTCCTTGGCCTTCCAAAGTGCTGGCATTACAGGTGTGAGCCACTGCCCTCAACATCTATACCATTTTGATTTTGCTGCTTTGGAAACGCTGATCCCAAAATTCATTTTCTTTTTCCTAGGACATGCCCAATATCTTCCTTTTTTTGAGACATTTATTTGGGTTAAGAAGCAAAGTCTCTTAAAGTAAGTACTTTAGAGAGAAGAATAAATCAAGATGTTTATTTGTAACTTGGTAAATATTCTGACAGCTGACTTGGAATGGAGATGATGGTGGCCAGATCGCTGATGGAGCCAGAGTAGGTGTCTAACTTGGAGAGGTATGTGTGGTAGGCAGAAGAGTGTTGAAGAAAGACTACCAAAACCATACCTTTTTACCTAGGACTGGAATATTTGACTTTTTCCCCATGATCTTCTGTACCATCTACAATTTGGATAGTGCTTTGCTTATACATTGAAAGTCACTATTTGGTATGTAATATGTTTATTCTATCACTGCCAGTTTAGATGGAGAAAAATACAGTAGAAATTCACGAGAAAGACTTGGACTTATAACTAAGGTTTACAGGCTGTTACCTGAGTAGAGTGTAATGGTCATTAATAAAAAATGCCACTATGTCCTACTTTAACAGGTATTTCCATATTCAAATTCTTAATCAAATCATGTTTTTGTAAAACAGACATACTCTTGATCTCAAATAAATGAAATATGCATTTATTTGAAAACATACAGTTCAGTTTTCAAAATCTGATATTTTTGTTATTTTAAAATCTGATATGAAAAAACCTTTAAATTAAAAAAAATACAGTTTTAGTTTTTTTTTTTTTTTTTTTTTTTTCTCCCATCAGTTGGAAGACACTGATTTTCTTTGCTGGAGGTGGAAATTTAAAAGAGTAATATTCTATTGTTACTTTTAAAGTTTAAGTCTAGGAAAAGTTGAGGTTTTGTTTTCCTTGAAGTATTGAACCACATTAAAAAAAAAAGCCCATCATTTCATTTATTAACTGTAGAAAGAAGACCAAAGGAAATTCACCAAGTAGATAGGTTTACCAGACTAAAAAATATAAAAGTGTAAAGAAAGTACTGCATATTGTCACATATCTATCTCCTTTTTAGACAATACATAAAACTTTACTTTTTAAATGCTTATGTGTACAGGTATTGTGCTAGATCTTGTGACCAGTAAAAAGATAACAAATAACAAAACTATAAAATTAACATAAATAAGATGAATAGCAATAAATATAAAGGCTATAAAATAAAATGTAGAATAAACAAAAATCTTATAAACGCCATAACAAGGATACTTCTGACAATTATGAAAGTATAAACAAGAAAGTGTTTCAATTTGAATGAGAGGGTTAGTTAATTTATTGTCTAGAAATGACATTTAAGTTGGTCCTTGAGAAATGTTAGAATTTTTATAGCAGTGATAATGGAAAGGCATTCTAAGTGGATAAAAACTGTGGTTAGAAACATAGACTGGAGAGCAGGGTATCTGAAACAATGCTGAGCCATTGTTTGCTAATAGTGGACTATGTAAGCAAGGCAGTGGAATATAGGCTAGAAGGGTATATTGAAGCCAAATTAAAGAAGGATGTGAAGGTTAGGCTAAGAAGTGTGATGAGCTTTATTTAGGTAATAGGCAATGAGGAGAAATTGAAACATGAAGGAACATAATTTGAGGTGTGATTATTTGAGTTTTTAAAATATTATCACTGTGCATCAGAATGGGTTAGGGAAGGCTTAAATCCTGGATGCTGGCTCAGCACCTATTAGAGCAATTAAAATGAGAAATGATGCAGACTAAACTAGAATTTCAGGTAAAAATGGGAAAAATAGGCGTTAAAAAATGGTATAAACGTTAAAAAACTACACTTGACTGAGTTAGAATATGGAGGAAAAGGAAGTATGGAGATCAAAAGAAAACATCAGGATTTGGGAGCTTGGACACAGGTAAGAGAAGTGGTCTGGGGATGGTAAGAGTCATGAGCCTACCACTTGGGGTCAGGGATAGGTCTAGCCATTTAGATGTGAAAACAGAAAGATAGTGCCTGAAGCATTGTCCTCATTCCTAAAACTTCCAGTGATGGGAACATTAAAACTAGTAGTAACCCAATGTTTCTGTCAAAAGAACATGAATTCAGCTCTGATATTGGGAACCATGTCATTGGAATGTATTTTACCCCTTCAAAACTAGTACAACGAGTCCAATGATAGGAAGTATATGCTTCCTTCTCCCCAACAACATTCTACTTATGATTTGACTGTGTAATGCTTAATTTTAGGTATCTACTTGATTGGATTGAGGAATGCCTAGATGGCTGAGGAAACACTGTGTTTGGGTGTGTCTATGAAGGGGTGTCCAGAGGAGATTGACATATAAATCAGTGGACTGAGAGAGGAAGCCCTGCCCTCAGTGTGGGTGGGCACCATCCTGTGACTGGTATCTTCAATGGGACAAACTGGGAAGGCAGATTTTCTTTCTCATTGGTCTCTTCCTCCCTTCTGGAGCTGGATGCTTTACTCCTCCTAATCTTGGACATCAGATTCCAGGTTCTTTGGATTTTGGACTCTGGGACCCGCACCAGGAGCCTCCTGGGGGCTCTTCGGCCTTCAGCCTCGAACTGGGGGTTGCACAGTGGGCTTCCCTGGGTCTCAGGCTTGCTAAGTGAGTCGCATTACCTCTACCGGCTTCTTTGGCTCCCCAGCTTGCAGAGGGCCTATTGTCGGACTTTTCCACCTTTGCGATCTTGTGAAATCTTCTCATACATCGTATTGGTTCTGTCTCTCCAGAGAACCAACAATGTGTTTAGTATCAAGCTACACAGAAGTTAGAGTTGAAGTCTGGAAGAAAGAAAAATCAGTGTAATGGGGAAAAATAGAGAAAAAAGTTAGTTAGGGAAAGCACTTGGAAGAATATTCGCATTCCATATGCAGTCATCATTTGTTAACTCTCTCCCTATGGTTCACTCTGACATAGTTCTAATACATAGTGGCAATATGTTTGGGTGTGATAATTCCAGCTCCAGCTTCAGCAGTGAATCTCACCTAATTCACTAGGCTCAGGTGATCCTCTTGCCCCAGCCAACTAGCTGGGACTACAGGCTTGTGCCACTGTGCCCAGCTAATTTTTGTATTTTTTAGTAAAGATGAAGTTTTGCCATATTGCCCAGGCTGGTTCTTGAACTCCTGGGCTCAAGCGATCCACCTGCTTTGGCCTCCCAGAGTGCTGGGATTACAGGCATGAGTCAAAGCTCCTGGCCTGTGAGTTCATTGAAGATGAAATTTCTTTTCCTGCTTTTTTTGTTAAGTTTACGGGTTTCAGGAAGAAGAATGAAGTAATCAACACCAGATTACATGCTTTGGAATTTATAAACACATTTGTGATAATCAAGAAAGTAGTTTTATTCCAGTAGTGGCGATGAATGCCAAATGGCAACAGTTTGAGGACTGATTAGGTTGAGTAAATGAAGGCAACATAAACATAATGTTTTCTCATATGTTAGAACCTTAACTTGATAATTTGGTAGATTAATTCTATGAGAAATATAAAACTGTGTCTTAACACAAGAAGTTGAGTTTATTAGTACACAGTTTATTAGTACTAGACTGTGCTTTTGCACAGTTTCCTCTGCCAAAAATAAAATCTCCCCCTTTATTCACTTGTTAAATTTTCATGCTTCAATATAGAGTGGAGAAAATTAAAATGATAAGAGAATATAGTTGATAGAATAAAAGTCTAGAGGAAGTAAAGAGACCTGGTTTACCTCCCGAGTTCAGAGCTGAATGTACCTTCCTCTAAAATTAATAACAAAAAAAGGATGGGAGAAGAATCATGGGCATTTTAAAATTGTGAGTAAAATGAAGGAATAACTACCTGAAGAACTCATTTTTGAAAATAATTTAAGTAGAATTATCTACACAAAATAAGGGAAATGGACAGCAGACTGGAAAGTAAAACAAGTAGTGGGTGCTGAGATGTGTAGGGAATAAAATTGGAACTCAGCTAGAAAAACATTAAAAGATATCTGATTAGAACTGAAAGCTTCTCCATGTTTAGGGTGCATGAATATGTAGTGAAAACAATTAGCAAATTTTCATGATTTTCTATAGCAACACCTGTGTAGAAGCAGTAGGGGCTAAACCATACTGCAATTTGTCATGGGGTTAAAATTGGCAGGTCCGATGTGTTGGAAGTGGTCACCGAGATAGATAATTCTAGGAAGCAAATAGAGCATTGTTGAAAGGAGTTACTGTGTCTTTCCAAACTGGATGGAAAGCCAAATGATGTGGCAATAATAAATGGGAAAATAGTGCTGTGTCAAATAATGAAAGTCTTAATGAGCTCTAAGTTGGCTGTGGGAAAGAAAGAAGTGACAGGATTTGAAAGTGATTTTGTGGAGAGTATGTAAATAGAGTCTGATGGTGGTGGCACAAGGGTTTGTAAAGAAATCAGAAAATATTGTTAGAGTTTTTATAGAGATTACAAACTAGTTTGGTAGGCAAAACATGTATATATATATATATATATATATATATATATATATATATGCATATTTACATATTTTACATATGATAATGATTATTTAAAAATTAGGTGGGAGGTACTGATTTTAAGTGTTCTTAATATTCACAGACAGGAAAGGTCTTGTCAAAGGAATTTGGCCTGGGACTGAAGGATAAGTCCATTTTAGTTAAATAGATGGAAAAAGGGATCTATTCTATGTGTTTTAGGAACACAATATGAACAAACATGGTTATGAGGAGAGACCAAACCAAACACTAAGGATAACGATGACAATGATAGTAATAACAACTTGTTATGCACTGACTTTACGTATATGATTTTATATAATCTCTATAGTAACCTTGTCAAATAGATATTACCCCAGTTTGTGCATGAGGACATGGAAACCTAGTACTTGCCTTAAAACATGGTAAGAGTACCAGAAATGAAATTAAGATTTGTCTGATATCGAAGACGTGTGCTTAATAAATAGGTTTTATTGCTTTTAAATATGGACCTACATGGCTATTTCAAGGATTGCTTCCCATTGATTATGGGGAAATGTACCCTTTAATTTGCTCTGTGAGTAGTTAAGTTCCCTTCCTATCCTACATTTCAGCCACCCTAGAGTTCTCTGTTATTCAAAGGCACCACATTCTCACATGTCCTGTGCTTTTGTTCTGTGCTTTTCTACTAAAAATTACCCTTACCCATTTATTCACCCATCAAACTCCTATACATTCTTTATTTCCTTGTGCCTTCTTTCAAGATCCAATTCAAACATATGTTTTGGTAAAGTTTTCCTTTACTAATCTATATGATTAATTATTCTTTCCTTTGTGACATATGTACAGACATGATGCTAATCACATTATATTAATTTTTTTATGTTTGCCTTTTCTTTTAGAATGTAAATTTCTTGAGAACACAGTCTTAGTCTTATTTATTTATTTTTTATTAAGAGGGAGTCTCACTCTGTTGCCCAGGATAGAGTGCATTGGTGCGATCTCTGCTCACTGCAACCACTGCCACCCAGGTTCAAATGATTCTTGTGCCTCAGCCTCCTGAGTAGCTGGAACTACAGGCATGTGCCGCCACACCTGGCTAATTTTTTTTGTATTTTTAGTAGAAATGGGGCTTCGCCATGTTGGCCAGGCTGGTCTCGAACTCCTGACCTCAGGTGATCCACCTGCCTCAGCCTCTCAAAGTGCTGGCATTACAGGTGTGAGCCACTGTGCCCCACCCATAGTCTTATTTATATTTGTGTCTTCAGTGTCTTATAGTGTCTAACATAAGTATTGCTCAATTAATATTTTTTGAATTAATGAATGCTCAAATGAAAGATAGGTAAGTTGGGACAGATTTATGAAAGGCAGACAAGAGTGTGGATTTATTGCATGGATTAGTGGTTGTCAACCTGTGTTCTGTTGCATCTATGGGGCCACTTCAACAGGGTTTTAGGCTTTTATCAGTGCAGAACTGCTCTTATATATTTTGCATAGTGAATTTCTATGTAAAATTTCATTCAAACAAAAGCTTCTATAGCCAAAAACTCTTCAGAAACCACTGAAAAGTGATAGAGCATTACAAATTTTTCAACAGGGGAATGACAACGTAAAGGGATTATTTCAAAGATAATTTGGCATAGACACTTCTAGACTCTCCTCTTCATCTGTGTGTGGGTACGTATATCAGATATCTATCTATTTATCTATCTATCTATCTATCTATCTATCTATCTATCTATCTATTAGCTATCTATCTATCATCTATCCACATCCACATGTATAATTTTAGATCTTATAAAATTCACCTAACTTAGGCTTGGCTGACTGAGGCTCTACACTTATTTAGGGGTGTTTCCTAGTTCTTAGGCAGATGTTCATACTCAAGATTGTGCTTTGATGTGAATGTTACATTGCTCAGTGGGGAGCTGCTCAAATCTGTTTCGCTACTGCATATAAGTGATTCAGAACACATACACTAAATGAAAGGTCTCAGTGTCTCAAGTGTTTTATCTACATGAGGCCAAAACCCCAGATATTGGGAGACATTTGGATCATTCAGTTTTCTCTTTTTCATATGAATGCTTTGGTGTCATGTAGACATTGCCTCAGTAGATATATCTTCAAGGATTAGATTTATGGAGTTCTCCGTAACAGGGAAGACCAGAGAGACCATTTATCTTGAGCACTTAGAAATGTAAATGTATTCTTGTTTAATTGTTTGGTTTCTGAACTTCACAAAGAACAGCTGGAGATAGAATTCTGTAATTCCTAATGCTAATAAACTGATATTGTGGATAGCTCTATGTTTATAAAGTGGTTATTATGTTCTATGGGATTAAATACGACATTTGTGTCTGTGCATGGACAGAATTAATCCTGAATGCAAATAATAATACAACAAAGTGTTTGGCCTTATATCCTGTCAAAAACACTCAGTGCTGTTAGTCATGGTGGTTAATTTTATCATAAAATATCTGTCGAAACATATCACTGTTCTTAAGATTCTAAAGGGTTATTTCAATTTCAGAAAACCAAGGATTTGAAATATTTCCCTTTCAGTTTCTAGGTAAACTGTGATTATAACTTTTTGTAACTCTTTAAATAATTTCATTTTTCTGGTAGAAATTTCAGAATGTTTTAGAGAGCATCAAAGTGATTTTTTAAAATGATATATAATAAATACAACTTCATTTCATGCCTGAAAACATCAGGTATCACGTAAATCCCTGAAACTCATTTTCCTATGTCTCACCATGTAACTACAATCTGGAGACGGAAATTACTATCACCCAATTAATTCTGAGTTACTAAGTGCAGAAGCAAGATGTAAATGACAAAATATTGAAATGAGAACTACTTAATTTCTTGTGATAGAAGCATAAGTAAAATGAATGTGTAAATGTTTCAGTAATTCTACATTCTTTTATTCATTTTACAAGTATTAAGTGCATGCAGTGCCAACACTGTTCTAAATCCTGAGAATTCTACAGGTCTGAATAAAATCCAGCCCCGAAATGTAAGATCGCAGATAAACAGAAGAGATAGACCCTTGCCTGTAAATGTGGGAGAAGCTCCCTTAAAGGAATTCCACTTAATTGAACTGTATGACATCAACTGATGCTGTCTGTTCCTACTGTGACATGTAATTGATAGTTTTCCATGGTGCACTGAGAGTTAGGTTAATTTGGGGATGTTTTCTGCATTCACCACCAAAAATAGTCTTACCTACTTAGCAGGAGAATGGACTATTTTTTCCCAATTATGTTTATACCAATTGAACTTATTTTTTTAAAAAAATACACATAAAATAGTGTATACAACAGAGAGACACAACTTTAATTATAATAATAAATGAAATATATATGTTCCCACTGGTTTAATAAATAGAGCAATACTAATACTTTACCACCCTGTGCTGTGAATTCTATCTTAATAATTGTATAATTTAAATATTATATAAATGGATAACATATGGATATAAAAGAAAAATAATTGTCATTTAAATGAGAACTTTGTAGAATGATTTGAAAATATTTGATAAATATTAGTGACTAAAATCATTATTGATTTATGGTACGAGTAAAAATCATGTAAAGACTGACAAAAAATATTAAATGTATCTTTCTTTAGAATATTTTATCTTTAATATGTCTTTCCACTTGAAGAGCTACTTTACAGTAATACTGAAAAAATAAGTTCAGTTGTCCCTAGACAGGTAAAACAAATTCCTGTTTCTTTATGGCATTTTGTCTTTTGTTAGCATTGTCAGTATGAATATGCACAGATTGTTGTATTATTTAATGTTCTGAATTTTTCTTGAATCTATCTCTTCTGTGAGTCTATAATAATGACAAAAAAGTAAACACCAGAAAGGGAAAAATATTTTTTTCTCAAAATTATTCAGTGATTCTTTAAATCTTAGAATTACAAGTAGGCGAGATGAGCTAAGTCAACAAAAACTGATAGACATAGATAAAAACAAAGCCCTTCAGATTATTTCAGGTTATTATTTTTGTGCCCTGTGTTTTACTTCTCAGGTAGCTGAGACAGACATTTTAGGAATGGAGAAAAATGAGAACTCTTAATTTAGAGACAAATAGAATATGAATATTTCAATTTTACTGATTTAATATTAGAAATACAAGCACTTTTAAATTCAAAGAAAAAGAGACCATAAAATATTTAAGCTTTGGGGGATATGCATTAAATATTTCTTGAAATGTTTCTACTGGAAATGAGATGTATTAAAATATTTCACTTTTAATGAAGAAATATACAGAAAATTAATTGAAAAAATTAATATGGTTTTTTAAATTGGTGATTTTAAAATGTACTCTAACATTAGAATTTTATTCATCTGTTTTCTTTTATGTTGTTGTTGTTATAGCAAACCAAACTGTATTTTATATGAATTTAGGGAGTACAATTTTCTTAAACAGAGTGAAAAGGAATGAAAAATTATTTAATCAGGTTCCACAATCTCTACTTCTGACTGACAGCAGAGCATTCTTATTACATGGAAATGCAGGGTGATTTATCTTTATTCCAGCAAATTGCTGAAAGGTTCACAATATATGTGAAAAACAGCTTTGTTATTCAGAGTAAAGTGGAAGAAATTGGAGATCCATACTTTTGAGTTTCTTTTCATCTTTTTGGCATTTTTAAAATTATATTTGCAGATTTTATGTCATGGCAGGTTTTCTATTATCTTTAACTTGAAAAAAAAGGAGATATGAGTATACTTTGCTGTACTTCCTTTAACTTTTCCTCTTTGAAGAAGTCGAATGCTAATGACATTACCCAGTACTGCCTGGTGAAGGTAGGGTAGGGGGTGTTTTACTGATTTAGATAGAAGGAGTAATCAGTCATGTGCCTTGAATAATCAGTCATGTGCCTTTTTCAGTCACTAGTTTATATTTAATCTTTTGGGTTTCGTGTCTCTAATTTGTAAATTATTCAGGCTTCTGAATTATATTCTGGCTTTCTTTTTCTGAATCATTTTACTATTCATTACCATCTTTACTTGGAAAAAAATCAAACTAGATTCTTTTAATCTTTGTTTATGGCTATAAGTGGGAAAATGTTTGGTATGAAGTTGGATTTAAACTACTGGATACATTTAGCTTTAGAAAATTCATCAGTTGCCACTGGTCTTAAGTCAAACTTCTTGGATAACCCCATCCAATATCACATGGTGTCAGTTTCTCATTGCCTAT
Source organism: Homo sapiens (assembly GCF_000001405.40). NCBI lineage: Eukaryota > Metazoa > Chordata > Mammalia > Primates > Hominidae > Homo > Homo sapiens. The sequence goes on along the minus strand of NC_000005.10, from coordinate 86,421,839 downwards.
GATACTTATGTCTGTACCTTTGGCTTAGATCTCTTTTCCATGCTGTAGAACCACATATCCAGCTATCTTATGGACAACTCCACCTGTATGTCCAACACCAGCTGTAACTCAGTATGTTCAACACTGAGTTTCATCTCCTCTCCTTATATATTTCACATCTAGTCACACAACCATTCATCCCAAGTCCCCAGAAAAATATGAATATATGTATATGTATATATGTCCCCAGAAAAAAAATATATATGTATATGTATAAAATCTTAGATATATATATTCCTCACAGTATATATATACAGTATACATATATTCCTCACAGTATATATATATTCCTCACAGTATATATATACACAGTACATGTAGTATGTATAGTATATATAGTATATATAGTATATAGTATGTATAGTATATATAGTATATATAGTATATAGTATATATAGTATATAGTGTATATAGTATATAGCATATATAGTATATATAGTGTATATAGTATATAGCATATATAGTATATAAAGTGTATATAGTATATATAGTATATATAGCGTATATAGTACATGTAGTGTATATAGTATATATAGTATATATAGTGTATATAGTATACTATGTAGTATACATAGTATATATAGTATATAGTGTATATAGTATATATAGTATATAGTGTATATAGTATATATAGTATATAGTATATATAGTACAGTATATATAGTATATATACTGTATATAGAGTATATACAGTATATACATATTATATATAGTATATATAATATATATAGTATATAGAGTATATATAGTATATAGAGTATATATAGTATATAGAGTATGTATTGTATATATAGTATATGTATACAACATATACTATATAGAGAGTATATAGTATATATAGTATATAGAGTATAAAATATATATAGTGTATATATATTCCTCACAGTATATATATAGTGTATATACATTCTTCACAGTATATATAGTATATATAGTATATCAATTATTCCTCACAGTATATATACAGTATGTATGTGTACTGTATACATACTCTATATAGTATATACTGTGTATATAGTATATACTGTATATAGTATATATGTATACTGTATATATATACTGTGAGGAATAATATACATACTATATATACTGTGAGGAATAATAGATATACTATATATACTGTGAGGAATATATATACTATATATGTAATATATATAGTGTATATGTATACTATATATAATATATAGTGTGTGTATATATACTATATATAATATATATACTAGATATATGCTATATATACACTGTGGGGAATAAAATATACTATATAATTTATATACTCTGTATACTGTGAGGAATAATGTATATACTATATATATACTGTATATATATACTGTGAGGTATATATATATATAGGAACATATATATATATATAGGAACATATATATATATAGGAACATATATATATATATATAGGAATATATATATATATATATATATATATATATATATATATATATTCTCCAAATTAACCTAACTCTCAGTGCACCATGGACATCTATCAATTACATGTTACAGTAGGAACAGAGAGCATCAGTTGATGTCATACAGTTCAATTAAGTGGAATTCCTTTAAGGGAGCTTCTCCTACATTTACAGGCAAGGGTCCATCTCTTCTATTTATTTCAGGGCTGGATTTTATTCAGACCTGTAGAATTCTCAGGATTTAGAACAGTGTTGGCACAGTATGCACTTAATAAATATATATATATATATATATAATATATATATTTATATATATACTGTGAGGAATATATATATACTATATATATATACTGTGAGGAATATATATATACTATATATATATACTGTGAGGAATATATATATACTATATATATATACTGTGAGGAATATATATATATACACTATGAGGTATATATATATACTATGAGGTATATATATATATACTGTGACATATATATATATATACTGTGACATATATATATATATACTGTGAGGAATATATATATAAATATATACTGTGAGGAATATATATATAAATATATAATGTGAGGAATATATATATATATACACACACACATGCACATACATATATATAGATAGATATGGTCTTAGTCAAACCTCTTCTTGGATAACCAAGAATATATATATATATATATATATATATATATACACACACACACACACACACACACACACACATATATGTACACATATATATATACACACACATATATATACATATATATATGTGTGTGTATATCTATATATATTCATTCCTCACAGTAAACTAATGTTAGGCTGGGCATGGTGGCTCACATCTGTAATCCCAGCACTTTAAGAAATGTATATATGTATATGTATAAAATCTTAAATGATCACACACCCTAATCTATATATGTATATGTATATAACCTAATGTATATATGTATATGTATAGACCTGATGTACATATGTATATGTGTAATCTAATGTATATATGTATATGTATATTACCTGATGTATATATGTATACGTATAAAATCTTAAGTGATCATGCACCCTAACAAAACTAATGTCCCATATATTCCTCACAGTAAACCAATGTTAGGTTGGTCATGGTGGCTCACAACTGTAATCCCAGCACTTTAAGAACGTGAGGCAGGAGGATCACTTAGACCCAGGAGTTCAAGGCCAACCTGGGCAACATAGGGAGACCCTGTATCTACATAAAATAAAATAAAATAAAATAAGATAAAATGAAATGAATATTTGGACATGGTGGTGGATGCCTGTGGTCCCAGCTACTTGGAAGGCTAAGATGAGAGGACTGCTTGAGCCTGTGGGCTCAAGGCTGCAGTGAGCAGTGATCGCACCATTGCACTCCAGCCTGGGTGAGAGAGACACCTTGTCTCAAATAAAGCAATAAACAAGAAAGAAAAAAATCTCCTTAGCTTTTATAACCTCCATTTTATAGGTGAGTAAACTTGTCTAAGGCTCAGACTCAGACTTATGTGAGGTGATATAGTTAGTGAATGACAGAGCTGAGGATCTAGAGCTATTTAATGTCCATATTCTTTGTTCCACATAGACTGACTTAATTTACAGTTCTTTTGACTTTTGATTTCTTTACTCAATCAGCTAACTTGTCTCCAACTAGACTTTCCAGAAGGAAGAGAATCCAAATGAATATTTGAAAGAGAAGTAAAATGGTACTTATTGATACAGAAATTTTTATTGATGTAATTTTGCTCTAAGTGAAAAAGGAAGTAATTGATAAATATGACTAAATTTATTAGTCATATTTCCAGTTTCTTAATCAAAATTGTAATCAAAATAGTCTCATCCTGTACTCTCCAAAAGTTAAAAAATAATTATAGTAATCAAAGCAATGTTTAGCAGTATTTTCTTGATGGGTTGCCAATTTATAAAAATGTACAGCTAAACTTTCATTTCTTTTAAATTTTTATTGTGTTTTTATGCAAATGAATTTGTTAATATATTTGCAATGCTCAATATTGATAGATACGTATATATTTATGACATATACAAAACAATCATATTGTTCCCCTTGTTATTGTGGAATTATTAGTTTTGTTCTCACTACTTCATAAAATAAATTATGTGTCAGTTTCAGAGAGAAATGTAGTTTCAGTGTGTATTAATCTAGGTAAGAGGCAATATGGCATCTTATAAATATTAACAGTTTATTCTGAATTTTTAAGATTTGGGTTTATTGTGATTTTTAAACAGCTGTGACTTATAACTTATATATCTATCCCATCCCTTGCTGGGTAATATTTTTAAAGTTTCAAAAATGAAATATGCTTTCCAGGGGGCATCTGTTTTGAGAAAATGAATACAACAGAGTTATTATCCTTTGGATTCTTAAAACATATTGACTTATCCTTATGATTATTCATTATGACTTCAAAGGAGAAAAATTAAACTTAAATCACTTTCTGCTTTTGTAGTATAAGAACAAAAAGTAAGCTGGCAACAGGCAGAGGGAGGGAGAGCAAGATTGCTACGTGGAGTACTAATTCTTTCACCCTGTCAGAATGAGAATAAGATGCTTTATGTGACCAGCATTTGAATTCCTCAGGGAAAAAAGGAGATAACTGTAATCTTCCATGCATCAGAATAAGTGGCAAATTAAAAAAAAAAAAGGTATCCAGTACAAGAGCCATGTTTATTTTTGGAGCTTTAAATTTGCCTTTGTCCTGATGTTTAAAATATAGTCCTCATCATCTGAATACACACCTTTTAAAATCAAAGATTATTGTTGCCATGCTTGATTTAGTGTAGTTTAGGATAAACTCCAATAGGATCTAAGTCATATAATCATTTGGATTTAGATGAGCAAGAACAAGATTATTAAGAGACTCAAGCAATCTAGCTTCAAACTATAAACTTCCTTGTGGCTAATCTAACAAAAATATCAAATTGGCACAATTTGACTCTGCAAAGCAGATTTTATTTTGTTTGAAAACATGAGTATTTGACAATAAAAAATCAGAATTATTTGGTGTATTCTACAGGTACATGTGTAGATTGCAACCTCAGAAAAGTTGAAGAAATACTATTTTTGATATAGTTGATTAAAAGTAACAAAAGTAGCTAATCAGCTAGTTAACAGTGTTTGAAAAATACAAACTGTTGGGAGAGAATACCAACTGAAAGCAAGTAATCAAGAGACAGCTGGAAAGAAGAATTAAAAAAAAAATTCTAAGAGCAAATGTAATGGATGAAATAAATTCTGCATATGAAAACCTGAAGTCACAAAAATGATTAACCAGAAGGCTGGTGTTTAATTTCAATGGAAAGTATTCTTTATCTAATGAGATTAACCCAAAGGACCTGTTAACAATGCCTTACATGTATTTCAAAATATTATCTACTTAACAGAGGCCTGGGACAAACAAACTTTTAACTGAAGAACTGAAGATGCCAGAGCTAATATAAGGATAATCAGGGGGAAAAAAGAAAAACAGCAAAGTAACTCTGAAATTTAATGTAAATCAGTGAAAAAAAATTCTTCTATTCTTAAATTTGGATTCAACCTAGCGATTTATTCAATGAATTGCAATACTCTTGACCATATCTTTTTGTAGTTCTCAATAGTAATGTAGCACTTTGCCTATTGAGCTTGATTGCAAAAGTTGCCCAGGAATTAACATGAGGTAGGTATGTTAAGAACTCAGAATTTTGTAGGAGGAACTATAAATCAATTGAGGGGAATCAAGACTCCTAAAATGTTTTGGAAATGGAGCAACCTACACTATGTTATCTTATGTTAGATAGAGCAAGACATTTCACGAAGAATTGTCTTGAGGCAGTATATTTTTCCCCCAAAGGATTGGTGTGGTTGTCAAAACTTATGGTGGTTACATGTCCTTTGATACATTTGAACAATTAAGGCCAGTTGCTGAGATAGAACTTTATCAGAAATTATATTGTTGATTAAGACTCAATGCCAAAGTAGTTTGATTTTCCCTCCCCATCTTCAATCCTGGCCTAGCTAGAACCCTGGCCTACCTTGCTCTCTCTCTTGCCCTGCCCTTTAAAAATCCACTGTGAGGCACATATTTTAATCTGTCTTTGCTTGTGGGGCAAAGAAGGTAGTAGCATTTCTGAGCCTACCACATATATTCAGGTAGCTTCATACCAGTGTTTCTATTCTTTACAATAAATGCTATTGGTCATATATAACCTTCTAGTGACTCAATTCTACATATCTTGTCAGAGATATTGGATATGAAGTGATGAATTAAAAAAGAAAATACATATAAAATTTAATTCAAAGCATTTAATTACTGAGATAAGCTTCAGGCAGAGAGAGATGACAAAATATTTGTGAAGGAAATGTAGAACAAAGTACATTTGTTGGCATATCTTAAAATTCAATGGAAATAAAATTGTTTTGATCTTTTACCATATCTGTAGCTATTTCAGTATTCACCACTTTTTACATAAAGTAATAAATTATATTTAAAATTTTCATGATATTTGGACATGACCATTTTAAATACAAATGTTTATATTTTTTCTGGTAAATTTTTTCTGTTAGTTATGAGTCTATTTAGAAACATAAATGAAATAATTTGTGGGAGCTTAATTTCTGTTTGTATCAATTTGCATGTGTGTAGCATTGCTTATGCAAAATAAATGAAAGCAAGAACTAAGAAATCTAAATAAATATACATTTAATTTTTATTGTAAAATTTAAAATTATGCACATTTGTAGATGTCTAGAAACACAATTAAGCAATTAATTATTGCATAGACAAACTAAGAAGTTATTAAAACATTAGCATATTGTGGGATTGCTATTTGAATTATTTATTTATTTATTTATTTATTTATTTGTATTTCTTCAACATATCAAACTGAATGGCTTAGACTCTTGCAAATGGATCATTGAATCAATCAAATTCTAGAAATGACATGCATTAGAAATGAGTCAGAGTATGGCCTAAAGCAAACCTGGCCAAATACCACGATCCCCAGAAAAGCTTTTTAAAATACAAACACCCAGGCTTTCTCCTTGGAGATTTTTATTCCGTAAGGGGTAAGAACTGAATATTTTAAAGTAGGATCTTAAAAAGTATTCCATTTCCTTTTTTTAAAAAATTTTCCTCCATCATATTTCTTTGCCTGCTTTGGTATTATTGTATACAAATATTTCCTTAATTGAGCTCTGCTGCCGTATTCTCAAGGGTTGGCAGATTTTCTGTTTTTAAATGTTGTGATTAAATTTGATAACATATTGTTTGATTCTATTTATATGAGATGTCCAGAATAAGCAAATTTATAGGGACAGAAGGTAGATTAGTGGTTGCCTGGGGTGGGGAGAGAGGGAAAATGAGAGAGACTGCTAATGGTTATGGGGCTTTCTTTTTGGGGTCATGAGAATGTTCTGGAATAGACAAAGGTGATGGTTGCCCAACCTTACTAATATGCTAAAAACCACAGATGGTAGTTTACTTTAAACGGGTGAATTTTATGGTATTCGAAAAAAATCTCAATTTTAAAAAGTGGTAAAGCAAAAACAATGTTTGATGATAACACAGAATTTGATATTAGCATGTTCTGCGTTTTGTGGATTACTGCCAAATAACCTACTGCCAAATAAGCCTGATATTGTTGGTATCAACTTGTGATACGTAATAATCAGAAGTAAATGGAAAATTTAAAAGAGGAGGATTTGATATATAAAAAATATATTTGGACAAGAAAATGTCAAATAGGTTGCACAGTTTTTCAAATAGAGGAAAGTGGTGAGGGAATTGAATTGGTACAGTACAAATGCTAGAACAGGCAAGCCAAACTCAGAGAGTGGGCACCGGCAAGTCAGCACATTTACATTGTGATCAACATTGTGCGTTTCATAAGGCAAACTATGCTTGAAAATCAGCCCGTGTTTTTAATTCCATCATCTTTTTAACACCATGTCAAGCTAATTTTTTATTTTAAAAGGAGAGATTATTTCCTTTATGGAAATTTCCCTTTGTTGGTGGCTGTGATAGTCCATCTTTGGAACCACCCTCCTCTTTTTATTTTATTTTTATTTTTTCTCCTCTTTTTAAAAACGATTTTTTTCTTTTTTGTACCTCATTTGTACTTGCTTTTACATCTATAGATAGATAGAGATAGATATGTATATATATAATAAATATATATTAAACCTATATATCTATTTTAGAAGAAGAGCACAATGAAAACTGTAAGAAGGAATCAAAAATAATCTGAGCTCATCTTCATTTATCTTGTAATTAACCATCCAAGGATTTTCTTAAGAATTTTATTAAATGAATTTAGAGTGAAGCTTCATGTGAAACAGAATGTTTAAAATGACTGATTATAGGGTTTGCCACATACCCTTCTACCATGTAAATATGTTTATGTTTCTGAATTATTTTGGGGTGAAGAATTTTAATTGGTGATTTTGTTTTTGTTGTTAGTAATGTTTTCATTTTTAAAAAAGTATACACACAGTGTAGAAAGGCAAGAATTGAATTAAAAGTGAATATAATTGTTTAATACTCCTAATAAAAAACAAAATATTGGCCGGGTCACGCCCGTAATCCCAGCACTTTGAGAGGCCGAGGCGGGAGAATCACGAGCTCAGGAGATCGAGACCATCCTGGCTAACACGGTGAAACCCCGTCTCTACCAAAAAAAAAAAAAAAAAAAAAAAAAAAAAATTAGCTGTGCGTGGTGGCGGGTGCCTGTAGTCCCAGCTACTCGGGAGGCTGAAGCAGGAGAATGGCGTGAAGCCCGGGGTTGGAGCTTGCAGTGAGCCGTGATCGCTCCACTGCACTCCAGCCTGGACGACAGAGCGAGACTCTGTCTCAAAAAAAAAAAATAAATAAATAAATAACTGGCATCATGTCAAATGCTAGTTGCATTAATAAGTAAAAGCTTCAGATATGAGGAATACATGTAATATTGTAGTAAGAGTATTTCTTCTTAACTTGCTGGTTAGTAACTAAAGCCATTTTATTTATGTGCTTACTATGTGCCTGGACTTGTGTTAAATGTATTATATGGATTCTATTTGCATTTCTATTTTACAGTGGAGAAACTGAGGCTTAGAGAGAATTTTAATAACTATTACATTAGAACAAACAGACAACAAATAGATAAATGGCAGGACCTATAGAATGATACAAGGCAACACATATACACTTTAGATAGGATGAATGTAAATGAACTCAGGTCATCTGCCTCCAGAGCTTGCTTTCTTGCTTTGGTAAACATCATATCATATTCCCACATGCCATGTGGTCTTTCTATAGTAACATCTGACTGTGCTAATTTGGCATAAACAACAATCATTCAGATATAATTTTTTTGTACACAGCAAAATCTGTTGAAGAACTCTAATATGTCTTACTCCCAACACTTCAATGAAAACAATGGAATAAGAATTTAAGCTATTTATACTTATTATGGAAAGTATATATAATACATAAATGATTTTAATAGTGTATACTCACAAGTTACATAATACACACAATGTAACGTTAGTATATTAATGGGAATTAGGTACATTTATTATATTAATAGCATTATTAAAATGGTGGCTAGAGGTGTGTTCTTTTTAATAATGGCATAGCTGTAAGGGTTAATCTAATTGCTTAATTTATCATCATTTCTGTTAAGCATTTCTGTAGTTCCTATGGTGTTTGATAATAGTGCAATCAAGTTTAGAGTCATCCGAACTCTAATTTTGACCCATTGTTTTAATATTTACTAAGTAGCCTATAACTTTATAGCACTACTGATAATACTTTAAAATATTTTTCCACTTCAAAAGGTTGGCAGATTACTTCTCTATTAAAAACTGGATAAGCAAAGACACCTGTAGTAATTGGTTAATAGAGGGCTAATAAATTTATCTAGGAAAATCTTTTTGGATAATGAGGATTTTCACCCATGGCTTAGATTTTCAGTATGATACTCAGTTGTACATAATATTGTCTCATTCATTTATTCTATTTTGTGGGGGAGGGTTGTTTTTTCCAAGCTTTACTTAAATGATAGGCTCTTCAATTCAAGGAGGAAATAAAATTTTAATTTAGCCTCCTTTGTTTCAGAATTAGAGAATCTGATTTTAAATATTTTACTTCATAACTGGTTGTCAATTACCTATTTTATGTATTTCATAAGGTGTATAGTTTTGCTTTTACACTTTCCTTCTTCCTTTGTTATTTTATTTCCTTTTGTTTCTTAGCAATGGAATGATAAATTAATGTTTACTGAACCACAATATCTCTGTTAACTTATCAGTATTAGCCATGGATTCATTTTCCTTTTCATCATGATAAGAAATGCATTGCTTGATAAGAATATATATCCCAGACAGGCAGTTTCCTTGTTGGTATTCTCTGTAGATATCGCTTCCAAGGGAAGAAAATTTGTCTTTTGTTGGCAAATTGTTATTCTGCTTGTTACCTTGCTCTCATTATAATGTCTTCATCTTAGCAGTGCATGATTTCTGTGCACAGTATGTCTTGCTGTGCTTGTGCTGGTTTTAGTACTGAGATGCTGCTTTTGACATGACAGGAGTCAGTGTCCTGGCAGGTGAAATCTTTCAAAGAACTGAGTGATGAATTAATGAAAATAACTATCTGTGTTTAGATATGTAGAGATCATTGACTCATATACTGAGTCAATGTTTATCATGTGCTGCTTGTGAACAGATCAGTATAAAAAGATGTGGAGAATGTATGAGGGAAATGAAAAACTTGATGCCTGACTTTAAGTAGTTTATAATCTATACTCTAGTCATAGTCTCCATATCCAGAGCTTGTGGTGTGGCCATGCAGTTGTAGAGCGAGAAGAAATTCTTTCCCAGATTTACCTTAAGTATTTCTTTCACTTAAAATATGTTAATCTTCCAAACTAAAATCACCTTTCAAGGAAGAGCCAATGGGGTATGTTTCTATCTGCAGCGTATGTAGCTTTAGAAGGCTTCCTCTCTGATGTGGAGAAATAGGAAGGTTTTACACTGTTGGTGGGAGTGTAAATTAGTTCAACAATTGTGGAAGACAGTGTGGAGATACCTCAAGGATCTAGAACCAGAAATACCATTTGACCCAGCAATCCCATTACTGGGTGTATACCCAAAGGATTATAAATGATTCTGCTATAAAGACATATGCACATGTATGTTTATTGCAACACTGTTCACAATAGCAAAGACTTGGAACCAACCCAAATGTCCATCAACGATAGACTAGATAAAGAAAATGTGGCACATATATACCATGGAATACTATGCAGCCATAAAAAGGATGAGTTCATGTCCTTTGCAGGGACATGGATGAAGCTGGAAACCACCATTCTCAGCAAACTAACACAAGAACAGAAAACCAAACACCGCATGTTCTCACTCATAAGTGGGAGTTGAACAATGAGAACACAGGGAGGGGAACATCACACACCAGGGCCTGTTGGGGGCGGGGGAGCTAGGGGAGGGATAGCATTAAGAGAAATACCTAATGTAGATGATGGGTTGATGGGTGCAGCAAACCACCATGGCACGTGTATACCTATGTAACAAACCTGCACATTCTGCACATGTATCCCAGAACTTAAAGTACATATATATATACACATACATATATATATATATACACACATACATATATACACACACACACACACACATACTTAAAAAAGATGACTTCCTCTGTGTTAGACACTGAGATAAGCTTTTAATGTGCTGGATATTATTTCCATAAATCTGTGAGTCTCATATCAGACATAGGAAATAAAGACTTCATGATAGTAAGGAACTCAGGTTTTTCTGACTCTAGAAGCAGAGCTCTTAATTACTGTATTCAGCTCAAGAAATGCTTCACACACTACATAAATGTATTTCTACCCACCAAACAAAATACAGATGAACCTTGAAAAACATGAATTTGAACTGCATTCATCTACTTCTACTTAATTTTTTAAATTTCAATAAATATATTGTGCTTTCTATATTGGCAGGTACTGAATATGCAAGCAAACGCGGATCCGAAATCCAGTATCCAGGATGTGAAATCCGCCTTTAGAGAGTTGACTTTTCTTATCTGCGCTTCCACAGGGCCAGCTGTGGGAATTATGAGGGGATTTTGGTGTCTGCTGATACCAAGGATCGACTGTCAATTGCACAATTGTCAACAAATTCCTTTTCTCGCTTTTCTTAGGTTTTGCTTTTCCATCTTTTATGGAGTATGATTTACTTTCAAATCGCCTCTGAAGAAACCTATTAGTCAGTCAACTGCAGAAAAACTTCTCCATAATATCTACCTGGAATATATCTTGCTTCCATTCACCTTCTTCCTTTGTCAATGTACGTTACTCATGGTTGCAATTCCTACTATGCCACTTTTCAGATGCACATATTCTTCTTCAGAGGCTTGTTGTTGTTATGTTTTTAAGTAGATTCAGGTTTTTATTCTCTCATTACAGAGTTCAGTATTCTCTTTTTTCTTAAGGGGTTGCTCCTCTCTACATTAAAAAAAAGTTTTTCTGTAATATGTTCAAGTGTGAATCTAATTAGCTACTGTATAAACAGATAGGATGATATTTTGTGGCTTTATATTAAGCCATTAACAAGCAGACACTTTTTATCTTTCTGGGTTTCAAGGAGAAAGAAATTTAACAATTTTTTTATTCAGCAAAATAACTTGAACATATTTAATATTTTATAGAGGTGGTACTTTCAACAGTACTGTGACTCAACACTTTTGCTTTTCCATTTATTTGTAAGGAAAAGGCAGAATGCCATTTGGTTCATTGACAAACAGGATAGAAAATATGTCTTTAGAGTTGGGGTGGTTTGTGAAGAAAGGAATAGGAGTTGAAAGAACATTTGAAGTAGGACCTCAACTCCTTTCTGAGAGGATTCATCTAAATTATATGGAACTGCTGTTCTATGTTCAGGGCATTCTTCATTTGAATCCATTTGGGAAACATTTTGTCCTATAACAGGAGTGGGGGACTTTTAGGATTAGGGTATTTAAAAGGATAGGGAAACACATGTGTATTAATTACTGCTGCTAAATATTTATATCAGAATTTATAATACACTCCTGTTAAATAATACAGATATGTTGAAATGTGATAAGAATGTGAAAAGTAACCTAAGTAAAAGATGAAGATGGATTTATAATATTTATATATATATATATTTACAATAGTCAATAAAAAATATTCTTTGTGGGGGTTGAAGAAAAGACCAAGAGCATACAATATATCAACCAACATTCAAGATCTGTCTTCTTCACCTGAATAGGTCCTGAATGTTAATTGATTCATATTTTGGAACATGAACATTCATGTTTTGGAAGTTAATGCAGAATATTTTTCCTGCTCCGTATAAAAATCATATAAAACATGCAACTGAGACACCGATCTGGGCAAGGGCAAATGAGAGTAATCATCCAATTTTTTCTCATTACTGAGAATTGTCAAAATGCCGTGAGGGTATACTTTGCAATAGATTGGCATTTCACAGTTTACTTTGCACATATCTTAATCATTGTGAATCTAAGAGAAATAGTTAATAAGGCATGGGCTTTTGCAATGAGTTTTTTGCCTAGATGAAGTAAGATGCTGGCACTTACAATATTTCATACAGAATCTTTCTTTGCATTGCTCTCACAGGACTCTCAGGAGGAATACAGTCTTTGTCAGTCATAAAGGAAGGAAGAGTCAATGACATAGGATCCCAAACACGGCTAAAATGTCTCATATCTAATGCTGTACTCCCCCTCTTAACCAAAATTTGTGTCAGGAAAAGGCACAAAACTCCACCAAAGGATTACGGTACCTTAATCCAAGGAAGTTGTATAGAGGCTAGTATTTAAAATTGTCATTTTGATAGGCCCCACTAGTGGATTTTATCCCCTGTTAGGTTGGACAATCCTCAGTATATACACCTTACTACACAAAGGTAAGATTCTGGATGAGTGAGGCATATGCCTGTCTTTCATAAAGTGGGAGCAGGGCTATCAGGAATATCAGTTTGGGAAAGAATAAAGGTCTGGGACCTCACTTTCAGAAAGAGGACATATAGATTTTGAGGATTTAGAAATTGATTTTTAAAAAGTGATCTGTTAATTTTTCATAAACCTTTAGGTCATACATACCTCTGTTTGATTTCAACAGCTTTCTTTGTTATTACCAAAGAGTATTCAATCTCTTATTGTTGTCTGCTGTCTGAAGCCTGTTTTACTAAGATGGCACCTGGGAATGTAGGGAGGAATATTCCTCCCTTCCTTTCTCGTTCTCTCCTTCTTTCTCCCCCACCTTATTCTTTTTCTTCTTCCCAACCCCTTCCTTCCTTCCTTCCTTCCTTCCTTCCTTCCTTCCTTCCTTCCTTCCTTTCTCCCTCCCTTCCTCCCTCCCTTCCTTCCTTCCTGTCTCTGCATGTACACTAACTGACATTTAATGTTCTCTGGAGCCATATGTCTTGCGCACTCAAACTCTGTGCACTCTGCAGGTCTCTAACACTAAATTCTGCAGAGAATATAACTGTGATCTGTGTTAGATTATTTAGGCAGTCTGGATGGATACAGTTTTAAACCATATTTAGTAACATTAAGCACACAGATTCAAATCAAGATCTCCTGAATCTAATAATCCAAGTTATAAACTCATTCTCATTTACTCATCCCATGAATATTTATTAAGCATCTTGAGCATCTACTCTGTTCCAGGGTCTGTGCTCAGTTGTTTTTTGTTAGTTTGTTTTTTAGACGAAGTTTCGCTCTTGTCACTCAGGCTGGAGTGCAATGGCATGATCTCAGCTCACTGCAACCTCCGCCTCCTGAGTTCAAGCAATTCTTCTGCCTCAGCCTCCCGAGTAGCTGGGATTATAGGCGCCTGCTGCCATGCCCAGCTAATTTTTGTATTTTTAGTAGAGACGGGGTTTCACCATGTTGGCCGGGGTGCTCTCGAACTCCTGACCTCAGGTAATCTGCCCGCCTCGGCCTCCCAAAGTGCTGGCATTACAGGTGTGAGCCACCACGCCCAGCCTGTGCTCAGTTTTAAGAAAAATAAGATGTGATCTCTATCCTGCATGAGCTCACAAAGGGCTTTGTGAGATTAAATGATAAGCAAAATTTGCTAATAATTACTATGTAAAAAGAGTTTATAACTGAGAGGTTCACTAAGTATTCTTGGAGAACAAGAGGGGGAAAAATGATTATGTCTTTCCTAGGGGAGTTGGGAAGGCTTTAGAGGGAAGGTCGTGACCTTTGAGCAGTGAAGGTACTTAAAACACAGTTGCTGGGAAAGATCCATTTCAGCTAGTGGCAGAAGATAGACTACTGTTATATACAGGAGAATATATCTCACCAGCTCTCTGTTTATGTGTAACATTTCTAGGTAAACCTAGACATTTTAAAACTGCAATAGAAGCTAAACTGTTAGCTACTGAAAAAGCTGAGAGTGTTGAAGTGAGCAGAATTTGCTTCAAATGCAATATCCAGGGATTTTGGAAGATGTATTTCATTTGATATATTTTCTGTCTGCTTTAAATGTATAATATAGCATATCAAAGTGATCCCATTTTATTACCCAAAATAATGCACTCTATTATTCTTATTCTGTCAGTTTTATTATTGTCTCATGCAATTAGTAGATTTAAAAATTAATGTCTAACTCAGGATTTCTCAGCTACAGAATTATTAAACTTTAAACCATGGATTCTTTGTTGTGTGGGGGCTGTCCTCTGTGTTGTATGATGATTTAGCAGTATCTCTGAACTTTACCTATTACATACCGGTAGAATACCCTAGTTAGGACAACCAAAAATGTCTCCAAACACTTACCAAGTGCCCCACCGGGGGGCAAAATCACCCCAATTGAGAATTATTGGTTTAGTTTGACTCCAATATTTTCGAGTCCTCTTGATTTTTTACATTTTTTAATCAGATGTTGTCCTAGAGTCATCCTTACTTATCATTTATTATAATATTGTTATTACTATAATCATTATTTTGTGCCTGGATGTTCACTAACAATGTATTGTTCTAAGCAGATATAAGTGCTTTCCTTGGTCTCATCTAAGATTTTCTTAGGCAACAGAACCTGGCTGGGATATTTCACTTAGTGATATAGATCACATTTTTCCTTCCTCATATAAATAGAGGCATTAGGTGATTTCAAATAGAATCACAGGGGAGGCAGAAGCCCAAGGTTTATTACTACTCTTGCCTATCCTGGGTCATGTCTTTCATGTATGTTTTCACAATTCAGTAGAATACAGCCTGAAATTCTTTTGTGGTATATAAGTTATAGTAAATTTCCCTGGTTAGCCAAAGGTGGGGAGAGAGAGATGAAGAGCAGGAAGAAAATGGATGTTAGGAAACACCATTCTTGCTTCAATCTGAACTAGCTGTGTTTTCTACTCCCATCTAATAGAGGTAGCAAATCATGAGAAAATGAAAAGAACAGTTATTGTTCAGAGAATTCTCTGAGATGCTTCCCAATTTAAAACTAGGGGCAGGCAGGCCAGGCTATGATACTAAGAACAGAAATAAAACCGCATATTTACCACTTCAGTGCTGTTTCCTGATATAAGGAAAAAACATCTCTCTGCTTACCCTCTGACTCTCCAGGTTTCTTCATTAAATTGTCAAAAGTTCCATTGACCATCACAGAAATTGAGTTCCCTATTTTCTGAGCAAAAGGGAGAACGTTGAATGAATGGTAAATGAACAATAGTGTTTTAAAGAAAACTTAGTTCAGCGGTCACATTACAAAATGCAGGATACTCAGATAGGGAAAGGATCATTTTTCTCTCTTAGCATTTTATGTATGTGGGAACACATAAAAAACATTTTAAACTACTTATCTTCTTAGAAACCTCTGGAAACTGCAAAATCTAGTCAATCAAAATATACAATATTACAATTGCCAAAGAATGCTAGTTTGAAATTCCATTGTAGGATCTCCTCTTCAGAATCTGTTAAACACAGCTCTGCTGGGGTTCTGGGTAAAATAAGCTGCACAAATAATTATTTTTTGTTGCTTTTAAGAGCTAATTTAAGATACTAAAAAGTTAAATATATATATATATATATATATATATATAAAATCTCAAAAATAAGTGATAAAAGAATCACTGAGAGATAAGTAAAAAAATACCCCAACATTTAAATTAATAAGATAAATACTGTAGAGTTAAATAAGGAGGCTTTCCTGCAGCTATTTGCAGGAGAGTCTTGTTGCACTTGCATAATAGTGGCATTCTAGCCATAGGGTCAATCCTTGTAAAAAATCTAGAGGAAAAACCAGGATGAAATGGCTGTAAATCGGTAGATCAAATTATTGTTCTGTTTTATTTATCAAAACATGCATGCACGTATTTAAATGAGTTAGGTAGTGCCATGCAATTTATGAAGACTAAAGAAGTCCCTCCTCCCCTTTCCTTCCATATATTCCGTTCTCCAGAGAAAACCAATTCATATAGTGATTTCCTTTTCAAATTTTCCATGTATTATACTAACGTTGCTATTTTTTAATTTATAGATTTTCATCATAATTTATTGACTTTCTGCTATGAGAGATGAGTGTGCTCGTGTGACACCCAATTAAACACTTAATCCATTCAATTACATGAAGTACAAATTGCTTGGTAGGTTTTTAGTGAAGTTTACTTAAAAAGATGGTCAATCAGTTGGAAGGTATTTCCTTCTAAATTTTTTTACCTTCTGGGAAGGACATGATGACTGGAATTGTAGCAACTTCTGTGACCATGAAGTAACACCAAGGAAGGGAGAGGTGTTTGGCAGAATAGTCCACCAGAGAACCCACATGTCCACATCCTCATTCTTGGAACCTGTGAATATATTGCCTTATATGACCAAAAGGATTTTCAGGTGTTATTAAATTTATGGACCTTGACATGAGGAAATGTGACTGGAGTATTTTGCCTTATATGGCAAAAAAAAAAAAAAGACCTTTGCAGGTGTGATTAAATTTATGGACCTTGAGATGTGGCAATGTTAATGGGTTATCCAGGTTAACTCAAACTAATAATATGATTGCCACAACTGTGGTCGAATAATGGAAGAGTCAGAGAGAAACTCTCTTTAAAAAAAAAAAAATCAAAACAAGCTTTATTTAAGAAGAGTTTCCATAATAACTTTGTTAAAGCTGCAAGCAAGTTTTTTTTTTACAATTATAATTCTAGAGACCTAATGATCCCAGTGTTCAAAAAAATATTTTTTAAAATTAGTAACAAAGACAAACTCACACCAAAAAGAAACAGCTTTTATTTGGCTGGGAATGTATAGCTGTTGGTTTCAGCTCTGCTCTAAAATAGGCTCACCAGTTTTTTTGAAATAAGTGAGATAGAGTTGTCCACAGAAGGAAATATCTTTTAATAAGCAAGCTACTTGTAATGATAAATATTAGGTGCTAATTTGAAAAGGCCATTGGGTGCCCAGATATTATGGCTTGAAATATCTGATCAAGTATTATTATGAGTTTGTGAAGGGATTTTGACTGAATTTAATGTTGAACATTTAAATTGGTAGACTGAATAAAGCAGCATACCCTTCTTAATTTAGGTGGCCCTTATCCAATCAGTTAAAGTTCTGAATAAAACAAAAAGGCTGACCCCCTCCACCCCCTACCAAATAAGAGGGAATTCCTCTTACCTGACCGTCTTTAAGCTGGGGGGCATAGATTCTTTCTGCCTCCTGACTCACACTGAAATACCAGCTCTTCTTGGGTCTTGAGCCTGCTGGTGTTCAAACTGTTACTACAACTATTGGCACACCTGGTTTTCAGGCCTTTGGACTTGACTATAACTACCCCAATGGCTTTCCTGTGTCTCTAGCTTGCTGAGTGCAGACCTTGGAACTTGTCAGCCTCCATAACAGTGTGAGCTAATTCCTTATCATAAATCTCCATCTATCTATCTATCTATCTATCTATCTATCTATCTATCTATCTATTTATCTATCTATCATCTATCATCTATCTATCATCTCCATCTGATTAGTTGTGTTTTTCTAAAGAACCCCGACTAATGCACTTCTTAGTCAAGAGTATTCACTCCTTAGGAAATACACTTCAATAACAAGGCCCGGGTTGTGGGATATCTGATCCAGCACTAGTTTCATAGGGAGCTTACAGAATTGTGAAGTCAGCAGTTGTTACCATATAGTATGCAAAATAGGAGCATTCACTGAAAATGGGGAAAGGCTATTGAGGAAAAGGAATTTTCTCCAGTTTCCACCCAGCCTTTAAACTTGCTAAAGTTAAATTAAAGGCTGTGTTCTGCAGCATCTTACGGAGAATATTAGAAACAATTAAACAAAATATACTCATGATTAATTCCCAGAGAGACTCTGTTTGAAAAGAAAGAGGAACCTGGTCAGGGTTTCCATAGAGGAATCTACCTCACATTGACTTTTGTTCTCATATGATATAAAACATTAGCCAGAGTATGTTCTACCACAGGCCCTAGCTCATGCCACTCATAGGCCAGTAGGTGATACCTATTGGTGGATACATAAAGCAAGTTCCAAAGTTAAGGAAACCATGCTGCTCTTGCATGGTGAGATAGCTAGAAAGTAAACCCCTCAAAAATATATTTGTAAACCACATC
Source organism: Homo sapiens (assembly GCF_000001405.40). Classification (NCBI taxonomy): domain Eukaryota; kingdom Metazoa; phylum Chordata; class Mammalia; order Primates; family Hominidae; genus Homo; species Homo sapiens. The sequence goes on along the minus strand of NC_000005.10, from coordinate 86,402,732 downwards.
TGTATTGACAACATTTTTATAAAATATTATTTCATGTTGAGGAGGCTGCTTTAGGCTCTTCTTTGCTTGCTTTGTCTACAAAGTTGGTTTTTTTTTTTTTTTTTTTTTTCCCTAAGACGCAAGTAGCTTTTAAATTTCAGGCAGAGACTTGGCTGTCTCTGTCTTCAAGAAATTGACGTAAAATCTCAGGGCATCTTCTTGTCAATAGCTAGAGAGTAGTGTTTACCAATGAACTGGTAGATCTTGGTTCCCTTTTTGCTCTGCCAATAATTAGGTTTACTAGCTCTGAAGATGGAGGAAAGGACCTTGATTCAGGGAATGCAAGCGATCCCTAACAGCTGTGAAAGGCAAGGAAAAAGATTCTCTCCTAACACCTCAAAAAGGAATGCAATTCCAATGACACCTTAAGTTTAGCTCAGTAAGACTCCTGTTTAACATCTGACTTACAGAAATATAAGATACTAATTGTTTTGGTTAAGCTACTTAGTTTGTGGTAATTTGTTACAGCAGCAATAGAGACCTAATACAGAAGCCAATTTTCAGAATATGGGAACAGAAATATGGTAGGAACTTGAAACACTGATGACTTCATAAAGCCCTGGAAGACTGCATTTGAACACTGGGTGTGTGTTTGTGTGTGTGTGTGTGTGTGAGAGAGAGAGAGAGAGAGAGCACATGAAACTGCTATGTTGTGTTTTTTTTTTTGCCTAGTCTTTGTTTTTCATATCAATATCCCATTCTTCAATAATTTAATGAAGACTGAGCTCCTTTATACATTCACTTCCTTTCTCTCATCCTCCAAACGAATGCTTCACTTTTTGCTGAAATTAGTATCCAGAGTTATTATTTAAACAGTGCAAATAATTAATTGCTGAGCCAAGAGATCTACTATATATTTCTTTTATTGAAGAACATTTTATTCTCCAGAAAACATACACATACGCACGCACACAATATTTTCTAAATGATCAAAGCTGTAAGATTGTCTGCTTTTCTCTTCTTGGGGATCTCCTCCTGGAAACTCCCATTCCCCTTTTCCATCCAGATTGGTTGTACGGGCTTCCTGGCCACCTAAGATTTTGAGAATTACTTTCGCCTCTTTTCTATGTTGGATCCTCTGATTCTTGGATTCCTGTCTTCGTTTTCTTAGTTTCCTCTCTAGTTTTGGTGCAATACTTAGTTTAGTATATCTGAGAAATGATACATGAAAAGTAAATTTAAAAAAAAGATTTTGCGTGTTTGAAGCCATCTTTATCCCAACTTTACACTTGCCTGATATTTGGGGTAGGTATATGATTCTAAATTATGCTCTCTCCGAATTTTGAAGGCTATGCTCCATGATTATATAATTTTTAATGTTGCTGTTGAAAAGCCCAAGGCTACTTGTTTGTGCTGTTCCTCTGGATGCTTTTAAATTCGCTTACTATTAGGATGTTTGAAAATTTCCAGTGATTTATTTTGCCGTGAGTCTTTTTCAAATAATTGTGTTCAGCATTTAGTAGATCTTTTCAATTTGTAGACTCATTTCCTTCAGTGTTAAAATATGTTCATAATATTCCTTCAACATGTTCTTTACTTTCTTGTGTTGAGATTCTTATTAGTTAGATATTGGCTCTACTGGATTAATCTTTTATTTCCCTTTCTCTCTTATTTTTCTTTTCAGTCTTTGCTATTTTATACTACTAACTAGGAAATTTTCTTAGTTTTATCTTCTATTACTTGTTTTTTTTTCTTTCTCCGTTTTCTATTCCTTGAGGTTTTTGATAGTTTCTAATCATGTTTCTAGCATCTTTCTCCGGTCTTGTGAATTGGCACATGTGTCATCTTTCTGAACATATTAACTCTAAATTTATTTGGATAAGTGTGTACTTTCTTGCTCCTGTATTGTTTCTGTTTTTCCTAAGTTTTGTCTTTATACTTTGTTGTGGTTTGTAATGGTGGAAGTTTTTGGAAATTACTCAAAAGTCTTTGGTAGCTCATTTATATTTGAGAATAAGCAATTCAGAAACATTTGAGAGCTTTGTGTGCATGGCCAGCCTTTTTGAAGATCACCTTTACAATAGAGTGGTTTTTCCAGTGAAGACACTTAAATGTTGGTTTATATAAATCTTTTCTCTAGTGTGGTTTAGGATTTTTAGAAGAGAGTTTTTAATCTCTTTCCTTGAGTCTATAAATACGTCTCTGGATTTTCAACTATTAGGTTGGTGCAAAAGTAATTGTGGCTTTTACCATTAAAAGTAATGGCAAAAAATTACCATTACTTTTGCACCAACCAAATAATTCACTATTTTCAGCACATCACAGCATTTTCTCTCTTTTGTGTTCCTGATGTTTTCAAATCCAGAGCTTTCTTCATTCAGTCTTTATAGGGAATGATGTTTTCCACCCCCTTCAAGAATAGAGAAAAGATGTTTGTCAGGTTGAGCTAGGAGGGAGAACCTGGTGCTCTAACTGCTCCCTCTTTAGATTTTTGCTTTACTGCTAATGTTTTACTACTGACTTCTGCAGCACCTGGTACTTCCAATTATGGGGAGTTCCAGAACAAATGGAGTTGCTTCTTATAGACTTATTCCTTCATCTTCCTTTACTCTGTACATTTGGTTTTCATTTTTAATCTTTCATCCTTTATGTATTGTTTTACATTACAGGTATCTACTAATTTATTTGAGGATGAAGCTGATGGCTTCTGTTTTAGTTTTAAATGTAGTTTTTGGTTTTGATTTGTATTTTTAATATCTAAGAGTAAAGTATAGCATTAACCATTTATCTTAAAGTTGAAATTTCATTTTAGACATATTTAGTGCTCTAACAAAATTTCTCAATAAGTAGTGCAATTTAGTTTTCTATTCAAGTCTGATTTGAGTATATAATTTAAGGTATCCAAGTTTATGGAAGTAAAACAATAATTTAGTTGCTTTTAACATTGGAACATACATTTTTTTAATGACATGATTTATCTTAAACATCTTGTTAAGAATTAAAAGAGATTGTACAGGCAAATTTAGGTATCACAGAGGCAAAACCTACGCATTTTGAGAGGAGAATTCTCAATGTAGTCTTATTAAGCTTATACTCTATGTCTGCAGTTAAATGAGCAAGATCACTGATCATAAGAATCTCAGTACTGTGCTTTTCCCACTGTACAGCCTGATGTTTTGCTTGTGCTTTACAATGATATAAAGGTTACAGCTGAGTGAGTGAAAAATTAAGGCCAGAAACATGAAAGAAACCAAGGCAATGAGAGAAAAAGCATTAATACTTTCTAGAGTCAGAGGTGCATAACGAGAGAGAGAAATACAGAAATACTATGACTTGCTGTTAACAGTCTAGCCATTGTCTAATATGTTTTTCAAATTTCTGTTTACTTTGGTCCACTATCTACATTTTAAATGCTTGAATTATTTTTTATGTACGATTGTTGAATCTGACTTAAAGACCAAATAACATTATAAACTATACACATAGTATTTTTATTTTTATTAATTTCTTGGGTAGATTGTGAATTGCTTTGGTATCCCAGCATGCAGCAAAGTGCCTGTATATAGTAGCTGCTTCATGAGTCCTTGATTGAATTAAACATTATGATTAACTAAGCCCACAGCAAATTCTGAATAATCTTAATTTGCAAGTTCACTTTTTTTCATGTCATTTCTGGAAACATTTGCATTGTTTTGATTTTTTTATTTGAATGTAAAGCCTTGACAGAAAGAAAATTTTTTATGTGTTGGCAACATTGTTTAAATTCTTGTTTCTCTTTCAGCACTTATCACAGCATCTTATGCATATAAAATTCAATATATATCTGTTGATTGTATAAACTACAAAGAGACACACTTAAGTTGAAATCAATAGGGTAAGAGAAATACTTACAATGAAATGACAAGGGATAAAAATATCTCTATTTTCTCAGAAAACCATCTTAGAACATATAAATTGTAAATTAACAATATTTAATTTCCTTATAATTTAGAAAATATTTGTGAGATGTTAGTTGCTTTGTGTAGCAAGTATTATTACCCACATTATGTAAATGAAGAAACATAGGGAGGTTAATAAGCTTGTTCACAAAACACCTCACCACTAAAAGACAACTTTATTATTATTTTGTTATTAATTAATATTATTATTACCATTATCATTATATTATTTGGCAGTGATTGTGTGAGTGGAAATGGCTGCCAAATGTTTGTTTTCACAAGTGCAGTTACATAAGGGAATTTCATATCTAGATATTTGTTCTGTACACTTGATGGATACAACTGGCCTGGTCCTTTTTTCCTGCTTTTAAACAATACAATTAATTTCAGATTCTGGGGGAGAGGGATTCTGAGAAAGAAAACAGTTCTAAAAGGAACAGTTCCTTTTAGCATTATGCTTAATACAAAAGTCATAACAGAACATGTGTTGTTACAGAAGTCAGAAGTAGATATCTGCTAACTTTAAAAAATAAATAATGGAATAAAGAATAATTATCATAAGAAAGCAATTATCATTAATGTCGAAGGAGTATAAATTAAATGGAATTTCACTTTTAAAATAAATGAATCTAGAAAAATCATATATAAAAATAGATTTCAAATATTCAATTGAAGTTTCAGTGTCAAAGAATAGTAATGACTTCCTATGATGAAAAATATCATAGAGGAAATCATCTTATAATTTATCTTATAATGAATATGTTTTCTGTTACCAGATTGGCTTAAAGTAATTATACTCCGACTATATTATCTTTTATTCCAAGCACATGAAGGATAGAAGGTTTCATATGTATGGTTCTTCCTAAGATATAGATTGAGAATTTTATCCAACGTTTAGGACATAAGTTTTCAAGGTTTTTAAGATCATTGGTTTAGAAGAAAACATACCATTTAAGTTTTCTTATGGCCTAGTATTTCTTAGGAACATATTTGCTTTGTCCTATCTTTTTAATTTTATGTAAAATACCTTAAAAACTGGATGTGGGGATAGAAAATTAGTGTATATTGTATTCACATTCTCATTTCTAGATCCTGACAAATAGATTAGATTTAAAACAGTGAAACAAATCAAATGAGCAGCAGTGTGACTGTATCACTTCTTCCTATAATCAGTGTCACTAAGAAATATTTATTGGCATGAATCCTATTATTCTTAGATTATGCCAATATGATATTTTTTGCTTTTAATAAATGTCATAATCTGTAAATTCCAAGTTACAATTCAAGCAGGCTTTATATTTTCATCATCATTATTATGATAATTGTAATTATATATTAAACAGTAAATATATGTGAAGTAGTCTACCAAGATATCTATATGTATATTACCTCATTTAATACAGACAATGACCCTATTACCCTTATCACGGAGGTAAGCACAGAAATGGGCTTAGAGGGGTTACGTATGGTCCAGAGTCAAATCCAGGCAGTATGATTAGAGCAAATACATTCTTCAGAGATGGTTGTATTTTAACATTAAAAAAAGACAAAAAATTAGAGTGGACACTGAGGTAGAGTTCAGAATAACAACTTATAATCACAAAATATTTCTTAGAACTGTAATAGGGCACAGTGAAATCTTATAAGGTGCTACCTTGTGCTTTTCATAAAAAAAAAATTTATTTTACCCTAAGCCATAGCTATAGTAGAGTAGATTTAAGAATATTAGGAAATAGAATCTTCTGCAGGACTTCTGTAAGTTACAATTAAATATTTAAAATGTAAATAGAATTATGAATGTAACATCTTATTTACAATATATTATTTATGAGGATTAAAAGCAGAGCTCTATATAGAAATTTTTGTATCAGATTTTTCTTGGGAATTTTTTTAAGTGATCAGCAACTTTGGAGAATGTTATTTATTTTAAAATTACTTTGAAACGTGTCTTTAAGGATTTGTTAGCATGGACTGTAATGCCACAAAATTAAAATAGAATGAATTGGAGTGAACTATGGAAGTATTTCTTTCATAAACTTGAGTAGATATAAATTCATTTTGAAAATGATGTCTATATTTAAATATAAAATAGTCATAAATGATGTTAATGGATGATTTGTTGTTCACATTTACTATTTCATGAAAAATTAGAGTGACTCTCTGAGGTCAAACTTTCCATGTGTATAATAGTTTAATTCTACAGTTAATATTTAGAACACGAAATTTCATATTTTTAAAAATTAATAAATGTTAAAGTTAAAATTCATAGATATTTATGTGTGTGTGTGTGTGTGTGTGTGTGTGAGAGAGAGAGAGAGAGAGAGAGAGAGATTTTAGTTCATGATTTTCCTGGCCTAACTAGCTTTTGGCTAAAAAATATTTTTGTTAATATTTCATTGATACTTATCACTACCTTTTATGCAATTTCTTTTTGGAAACAGGGTCTCACTATGTCACCCATTCTGAAGTTTAGTGACGTGAACACAGGTCATTACACCCTCAACCTTCCAGGCCCAAGCAATCCTTCCGCCTTAGCCTCCAGAGTAGCTGGGACCACAGGCACATGCCACCACACTCCTGGCTTTTTTTTTTTTTTTTTGTAAAGACAGGGTCTCCCTATGTTGTCCAGGCTTGTTTCTAACTATTGGGCTCAAGGAAACCTCCTGCTTTGGCCTCCCAAAATGTTGGGATTATAGGCATGAGCCCACTGCACTTAGCCTTATGCAAGTTTTTAAATTCCTACTAGGTATCACCCAATATTTTCCATCAGTGTCTCATAACTTTATAAACAGGTTACTTTTATACTACATTCTTCATGTTTCTCACCTTGATGGATGCTGCCCATAAGTTGTATGAGATGTTTGAACATTGATTACTACAGCTACAAAGACCAATGTGACCATCCCAATGGCTATGCGAGCATGCTATCTCTAGTGTTTCCCAAGCCCCTGGCCTGGTATGCTCTGCATTTCCTGAGATTAACAAAGTCCAGAAGTTGTGCTGAGTTTCTTCCACAATGGGGACAATATCCTTTTCTCAGTTTTTTTTTTTTTGTTATACTTGATTGCCTGACTACCAAACAAGAGTAATATGGAACTAAGAGTCTAAGAGTCCTGCATAAAATCAATTTCTATAGTTTTTCCCTGAAATTATTGTTTTGTTGTTTTAGACATGCATTTATAGGGCTTGGGTCTAATCATACATGACAAAATGTCAATTTTCTTCTCATATCACTTGAACAACACAAGTTTTACCTGCATGGTCCACTTACACATGGATTTTCCTGTGTCTCTCCCACCACTGAGACCGCAAAGCCAACCCTTCCTCTTCTGCTTCCTCCTCAGTTTACTCAACAAGAAGGCAATTGGTTGTATACTTTTATGATCACTCATTTTCTTTTTTTTTTTTTTTATTATACTTTAAGTTCTAGGGTACATGTGCACAACGTGCAGGTTTGTTACATATGTATACATGTGCCATGTTGGTGTGCTGCACTTATTAACTCGTCATTTACATTAGGTGTGTCTCCTAATGCTATCCCTCCCCCTTTCCCCTACCCCACGACCAAGTGTTCTCATTGTTCAATTCCTACCTATGAGTGAGAACATACAGTGTTTGGCTTTTTGTCCTTGTGATAGTTTACTCAGAATGATGGTTTCCAGCTTCATCCATGTCCCTACAAAGGACAGGAACTCATCCTTTTTTATGGCTGCATAGTATTCCATGGTGTATATGTGCCACATTTTCTTAATCCAGTCTATCATTGTTGGACATTTGGGTTGGTTCCAAGTCTTTGCTATTGTGAATAGTGCTGCAATAAACATACATGTGCATATGTCTTTATAGCAGCATGATTTATCATCCTTTGGGTATATCCCCAGTAACGGGATGGCTGGGTCAAATGGTACTTCTATTTGAGATCCTTGAGGAATTGCCACACTGTCTTCCACAATTGTTGAACTAGTTTACAGTCCCACCAACAGTGTAAAACTAATCCTATTTCTCCACATCCTCTCCAACAGTATTGTTTCCTGACTTTTTAATGATCACCATTCTAACTGGTGTGAGATGGTATCTCATTGTATAATCACTCATTTTAACTTAATGAATAGTGAATATACTGTCTTTTTTTATTTTCTTAATAACATTTTCTTCTCTCTTTCTTGCTTTATTGTAAGAATATAGTATATAATACATAAAACATAAAATATATGTTAATCAACTGTTTATGTTATTGGTAAAGCTTCCAGTCAGCAATAGGCTATTCATAGTTAAGTTTTGGGGAGACAAAAGTTATATACAAATTTTTGACCTTGCAGGGGCTCAGCACCCCTAACCAAAGGTTGTTCAAGGATCAACTATGTATACACATGTGCACATACACACACTCATGCACTCTTGTATATATTCTATTGGTTCTGTTTCTCTGGAGGACCCTGATACAACTACCATGTCCATGTTTAAATGTGGGTTCCTACCTTAAATTTTAAATTAACAATTTTATAAATTCATGTGTGTATGCATATCTTAAAACTTTCATTATACATTCAGTTTTTATATAATAAAAACTTTTATTATATTTTATTATATGTCTTCCATACAGAAATATATAGCTCAATAAGTTATTATAAAATGATTATCTGTGTAATCACAACTGAGGTTAAAAAGTTGAAGAATACCAGCATGACCAATCCTCCCTTCTTGCCACTCCCAGAAGATCATCACCATCTATATGTCTAACACTTTGCTTTAGCTTTTCTATCTTGAATTTTTTACAGTCACATTTTATATGTAATTTTGTGCCTAGATTTTTCAGCTTAATATTTATACTTCATGTTCATGCATTTCTACTGAACATATATGTAGAGGTGGAATTGACAGAGTGTTTTTACACAACTTTCGTAGATAATACAAAACTGTTTTCCAAAGTGCTTGGATAAGTTTATACTTCCTCTAGCAGTATAAGTGGTTCATGTAGATCTGAAGACTTTCTAATGTATCTTGGAAATGTAGCCATTGTGTTGGGTATGCAGTAATACTTTATTCCAGCTTTTCTTAACAAATTTACCTAATAGTTAATGGGACTGAGCACTTTTTAATATGTGCATTGGCCATTTGAATATACTCTTTTTTACTCAAAAAATTTACTTAGCTAAGACTCCGCCCATATGTTTATAAATTGGATTTTCTAAGTGTTTAAAATTGTTTTTAGTTTTACTGATACATAATTGTACATATTTATAGGGTACATGTGACATTTTGATACATGCACATAATTTGTAATGGTCAAATCAGGGTAATTGGGATATCCATGACCTTATTCATCATGTCTTTGTGTTGAAAACATTCCACATCTTCTTTTCTAGCTATTTTGAAACATATGTTATTGATAACTGTTGTCACCCTACTGTGCTATAGAACACTAGAACTTACTTCTTCTGTCTAACTGTATTTTTTGTATCCATTAACGAAGCTCTTTTTCTTACTCTCTCCCTGCTACCCTTCCCTGACTCTGATATCCACCATTCTATGCTCTACCTCCATGAGATAAACTATTTTAGCTTCCCCACATGAGTGAGAGAATGCAATGTTTATCTTTCTGTGCCTGGCTTACTTCAGTTAACACAGTGCCCTCTAGTCTCATCCATGTTGCTGCAAATGACAGGATTTCATTCTTCTGTATGGTTGAATAATATTTTATTATTTACATATGTGACAATTTCCGTATCCATTTATTTGTTGATGGACACTTAGGTTGAGGGTTTTCTGACTTTTAAAAATTAATTTTAAGTTTCTTTTTATATGCGCTTCACAAGATCTATTTGTCTCAATATGTCTTACAAATATCTTCTGCAACCTTATGATTTGTGTTTTCACTGTCATAATTGTGTCTTTTCGTGAAAGAAGTTCTTAATTTAAATAGACCCCAAATTACAAGTTGTTTCATTTTCAGTTAGTGCCTTTGGTGTTTGGTTAAATATTTATATTCATACCACAGGTAATAGATGCATTTTTTCGTAATATCTTCTAGAAGATTATTTGACTGCCTTCCTTATTTAGATATACAATCCACTCAGACTTGATTTTTGCTTTTAATATCAGCTTGACTTCTGGAAAATCTATTTGAGATAGTGTCACTGAATAAAAAGATCATATTTCTGCAGTGTAGTACAATGCCCATTTATACAGATGAAATATCTTTATATGTAACAGTCTGTTTCTTGCCTCCCTTTTTGTTCCATTGGTGTATATTTATCATTGCTCCAATATTATATTATCTTAAGATAATTACTTTAAAATAAATCTTGTTATCTTGTAGAGCAAATCATCCTACTGTGTTTTTCTCCAAATTCATCATTGCTATTCTTAGCTTTTTATTTCTTCATATGTATACATATGAAGAAATATATATGTGTATATATATATCATATGTGTATATATATCCTGTGTGATATATATATACTGTATATACTATATACACTATATACTGTATATACTATATACTATATATACTATATATATACACAAGCTGATATATTTATATCATATATATATATCATAGCTGATATATATATGTATCAGAGAGCTTGTTAACCACAGAGAGAAGAACTGTAATCAGGATATTTGTTAGAAGTATATACATACACACACACTATATCAATTTGAGAAGATTGATAGTTTTATGGTATTGAGTCTTTAATTCCATGAACATGAACATGGTCTACTCCTTCAATTATTTCCCTTTTCTTTAATTTCCATTAATCTTTTATATAATTCTAAACATCTTACACATTTTGTATTTTAGATCTAAACATTTTATTTTTGTTATATTAATGTAAATAATATTTTTTAAAACTGTCCTATAATTTGTTACTCATACAAAATTAAAACAGAAATTTATATATCGAGCTTGTATTCCACATTCTTCCTAAATGCACATAACAACTCCAAAAATGTATCTAAAATAAAATAAATAAAATATTTATTATCTACAGATACATTTTTAGAATTGTTAAGTGCATTTAGGAAGAATGTGGAATACAACCTCAATATATAAAAATCTATTTTAATTTTACATGAGTAACAAATTATTCTAGCACAATAATGAATGGCAGTTGTGATAGTTGACCTCCTTCTTTTGAGACTGATCTAACTGGGAAAATTTCAACGTTTCACCATTACATTAAAAATTTGCTGAAGGGTTTTTGAAGGTAGCCATATTAGATGAAGGTAGCTCAATTCTATTCCTCTCTTACTATTTTTAATAATTAAAGTTGAATTTCTCTAAATAATGTTTTGCGTCTAGTTGTGATTATATGAATTTGGTCATTAGTTGTGTTGAAAACATTTTATTGTGCTTAGTATATTAATTTAATTGAACGTAAACACATTTAATGTATTATGATCATATTTTAACTTTAAATCTAAAACAAATTTGCATTCTTAGAATCAACTCAATTTTGTCCTAATATTTTTTAAAATATTGCTGATTCATTTTGCTAGTTATTTATTTGCAATATATGCATATATATTTATAAAGGAGATTGGTCTGTAATTTTCCTGTCTTGCAATTTATCATCAAATTTTGGCATCAGGTTTAGCTGGCCTCTTAAAGTAATTCTTGACAAATGTTTGCTTTGTCTTCTGAAAGAGTCTGTATATAATTGGTAATATTTATTTTTTAAGTGACTGGAATAATTCACTTGTAATTCTCTGCACCTGAAGCTTTTCCTGTAAAATATTATTTACAAACTCTATTTTAAAACTTGTTATTTAACTGTTAAGATTTTCTGTTTCCCTTATTACACTTTGATAAACTGTATCTGTCTAAGAATTTGTCTATTTCATCCAAATTTTTGAATATCTTTTTATAACATTATTAATTTCTTCTTTTATTTTCTTTGGGTTTAATTTCTATCAATATTCTAAATGCACTTGTAAAGAACATGAATTCTTTAGCTGCTGATTGCTCTTCTTCATAATCATCCAAATGGACGATTTGGTGAATTATTGTACTGTGTTTAATTTTTCTATATCTTACTGATAGTTATCTGTGTTTCAATCTGCTACTGAAAGAACCGGTTTGATGCACACATCCCCCAGTTTCTGTGTGCTTTCCTCCAAACGGCTCACATCTGCAGTCTTCCTCAGTGGAATATCCTTGTATTGTTGCAATATGTTTTGCCCAGATGGACAGCCAGAGCCAGAAGTACCTGGGAGTTAATGTCTCCTGGGTCGCAAGTATCCAAAGAGCCACTGTGGCAGGAGGATAAAAGCCCAGCTTTCTTGCTTCTAGGCAGGATAACGTTTGCTACATAACTCACGCTCCAAATTATCCACCAGGATCATGCTGAAGCTAAGGCTATTCCTGAAGTTACACCCTTGCTTGCATGTTTCCTTATTGTGCCCTGTAGGCTATTCCCTTGGTGGGTTTCTTCTGTTAATCCACCCTTAGTAAGTTACTTGCATAGAGTCTGTTTCTCGGAAACTTGACCCAAAACAATGTTTGTACTTGAATCCCCTAATTAAAAAATCTGGAGACAAGGGGAAATGATCACTTGGCTTCTTTTAAATGTTAAAAGTTTATAGTCTATTATTTTATCTTGTTAAAATATTTGTTTTGTTGATACCTAAATTCTGAGGAGGAAAACCTTGATACTGGTAATCATGATGGAATAAACATCATGAAGGCCACATCAAATTGGTGCTGTAGATCAGGCTATTATTCGATGTAAGTTTCTTCAAAGGATTAGGCATTTATAAGTTTTAAGCGTGTTTTTAAGTTGTCATTTATTTATATTAGAAAAATCTCTTAAGAGGTTTTGTTCTAAAAGAAAAGTTGCTTTTGGAAGTTTGAAAAAACGGACAAATAAACTAGCCTCCAGTATCAGTAGGTAGGCTAATTTTTCTACATATATTTTTAAAAAGTAAAAATTCCCTAGTCATATTTCCAAAGATATTGTGGTGGTTGGTGACAGTGGTGATGTATGTGTTTGTCTTTATAAAACAAACACATGCATATTCTTAAGAAAAAAAGAATTATGATTGTCATTCTCATCCCCCTTAACATTCTTCAAACTCCTTAGATAATGAGTAACTCCAACTATTTACAATTGATGAGAGAGCATGCCAGAGAGAAACACAGGTGAATCTAATTAAGTCTAATTTATTGATGATATTGTCATAATCATTCAACTTCAGCAAAAGAAACAGAGAAGGTAGGAGAAGAGGCAAGGCAGTATATCTGAAAAGACAAGAAAAAATGTTTTAATGAGAGAGTAGTCATTACTACTGAGCTACCAAGATATTGAATAAGACAAAAAAAGAATATTTATGTTGAATTTGGCAATTTGGCAATTTATAAGCGTGGTTTTATGGAGTACAGAGATGAATATTAGAGTCTTGTGGGTTAAAATATGAATGGGAAGGGAGAGAAAGATATCTGTAGACAAATGATTTTATAAGTTTGGTTGTCAGAAGGAGCAGAAAAATGAGAAAAACCTGGAGAGTTAAAAGGGGATTGTTTCAAAGATAGCAGATTATAGAGCATGTATTTATACTGTGAGAATAAGGAAGAGAAAGAATTATAATTCTATAGGGAGTGTGAGTAATATGATAACAAATTCATTGATAAGATAGAAGAGGAAGGTGCAGTACATGTTGAGCATTTGTATCTATTAGGAATTCATTTGGATCAGTGGAAAGGAGAATATGGATGCGTTTATAGCCATAGACATAGGTTTGGTAATGGGAAAAGGAGTTTGCAACTCATATCTAACTCAATATCCTGTATCTCTAACTTACTTTGGTTACAACAAACAAGATATGGAGAAGCAACAAGCTCAGGGAAGTTAAGCTACTAGCACCATGAGTTAGTATAATCTGATTTTGCAGTAAGATAAAAGTGTGCTTCCACTATACACACAAGTTGAAATCAAGAATGACTAGTTATGATAAAGGTGAATCAGTTCATCTCTTTTAGGCAGATACTGAGGACATAAATCATGATCAGAGAGTAAAATGGGAGAGTCCTACCAAAACACAGTTTTCCCCTTTTGCTCTGTATCTTTTGGATTCTTTTACAGTTTTAACTCTTTTGCCTAATGAACTATCTCTGAAGACCAACTCCCTGGCCCCTTGCTTCTCTGAAGCGCAACTTTACTTTGCAAATGACTTCAAAACACTGACCTTTTGCTTTTAGCCATGTTGTTGAACCCCAGATTTTCTTCTGTTAATAGCCATGCAAAGAATGGGTGTGTGTATGCCTGTGCATGCACCCACAGACACACAGATACAAACACACATCCAAACACTCCAGACGAAACCTAGTTTCACTCTTTACAAACCCTTGACTCTGCCACTCCATCCCAGAAGACAGAAATATATGAATTCTGAAATGCTTTTTCCATGCACATATTTGCAGTGAATGTCCTGAGAAATCAAGACTCTCATACACACATATGAAGACATTCTGCCATTTTGTATTACTTATTTTTTTTCTTCTGTTATTTTCCCAGAGCTTTCTGTATATCTATATATTGCTTTTGTTTACTGGCTGATTTGGTATATTTTCTATGATTTTTTTTCAGGACTCTAGACATATCTTTTAGTACATCTCTATTCAATGCTCTCTGTGTGGAAAATCTTATTTAGGAGATACATTTCAGTTAAATATTTATATAAAAATTTAAGGAAACAAATTTTTATTTTTATTTCTACCTAATTTGGGGAATAGTTACTTAGGCTTAACTGACTCATTTATTTGGAAAAACTTACAATTGCTTAAAAAAATTGTTCTTCTAACACATGTTTGATTGGTACAACTAATCAAATTTTATAAAATATATCTACCTTTTTAAATTTTAAGATTCTTATCTTATGGAAATTACTGCGATATAATCCCTAAATTGTTTTCTTTTATATTTATGGTATCACATTTACATTATACCTTTTCATAGCAGTCACTAATGCTTTCTGTGGATTTTACGCTAAATTAGACAAAGTTTTATTAAAAGATGCCAGTGACCCTCTACATACAGTAATGACCAAGATTCTCAATATCTTCAAAATAGCTTAAAATTGGGTTAGCTAGAAATAAAAAATTATACTACCATCAATGTGTCAGTTATATATTTAGCTCCAAATCCACATTGAATGGCCTGCTCTGCGATCCTGGAGATGGACCCTATAATATTTCTCTTTGCTAGCGCACCGAGGCTAAACTTTGTCAGTGGAGGGTGCAGAAGAGATACTGAAAAGTGAAGGGATTTTTTTTTTTTTCTTCAGAGTCAGGTGAGTTCCTGTAGACAGGCTCCTATAGCACATGTGGTTTTTGCAGTGCCCAGCTCTTACAACATGGCCAGTTTCTGCCATACCATGAATCTCCTGCAGCACTTGGCTGAACTGTTAGGTAGACTGGTGCTTCCTCTGAGTGACCTACCCTGCACCCAGACTCAAGGAGATTTGTAGCCACAGTGAATGTCTCCATTGTCCAGAGTCAAGGCTTTTTACTTTCCTATGAGATCTAGATTTCAGTACTAGGAAAATAACCCAAAAGGGAAGGAAGTTCTTCCAAATGTAATCCTTTACTTGGGCACTCTATCTCACCCTAGAGGCAGTGTCTATATCATACATTTTCTACTCATATTTTTCAGAGTTCTTTGTATTCCTTCCTAGCCAATCCTTTATTTTTCTAATTCCCTGTTATAAGTCAGTAATTCTTTACATCAAGCATTCCTCATTCAGATTACTGTGTGGTTTCTGTCTTCTGATTAGACCCCCGTTTGTTAGAAGAACAATGTAAAAGTAAACAAAATTATGTTTACTATATGTCCTCTGTGAGATTTAAGATTCTTCAGTGTATAAGGTTACCAGGTATCTGTGCATAAAATATGCCTAAAGTATCTATGGAGTAGTAGGCCAGGAACCCAACAAGTCAAGATTTATGTAATAGTAACTTCCATGTAATAACTTAGTTTATTATGACATTGAAACATTGGGCACGGAAAAGCATTTAATTTGATGAGGTAACTTGTCTAGGAAAAGAAATTAAATCACCACAACGAATATAGAAAAGTGGTAAGTTTCAAGTCAATTTTATTTTCACATTGAAATAAATAAGTGTAAAGCATAAATGTGCCAGAGAAGTAGTCATTCCCAGGCAATTTTACATTTCTGTTGTAAGCAAGTAATACATGATTCTACTGTAGACTTAAAAGGTTTAAAACAAAATATATGCCAACTTGGAAAGTACTTCCCTTCAAATATCTCCACTCTAAAATTGCATGTTAAGTTAGGAGTCAATGGAATCCTGAGTAGGTGAAAGTAAATGCTAATTAAGGGAGTGACTTCATCAGCTCTGTACTCCTGGTAACTAGCACGGGTCCTCATGCATTTTGAGCACTCAATAAAAGTTTGTTGAATAGGCAAGTGATTCATCTATATGTAGCTAGGATTATACTTCCCCTTTATAAAATACAAGATTAAAAGACTTAAGACTGTAAGGAAGAGATTAGCACTGTAACTCTATAATACAGCCTTAATATAGGTAGTAGTGTCAGATAGTGGCTGTTTTCACCCTCTTCTGGCAGGATGAAGAGAGTGGGGGGAAAGAGAGCAAAACTTTGTAATTACAGCATTGAAAAATGTTTATAGTTTTTATAGCCCTGGAAAGTCACCATTATTATTGCAAGTCACCTCTTCACTTGCTATCAGTCGGCCAAATTTTTACCGTATTTTGTCTTTAAAATATTTTTTTCTAGACAAACGTTTGAGTTCAAGTGGATATATAGGAAATTCTTGGCTTCTAGTGGGTCAGTATAGTGGGAGCAAAAGAAAATATATCAGGCAATAAAAGATGTGGATTCTTGTCCCCAGTCCTCTAATACATCCCTATGGTACTTGGTATTATCCTAATCTCTCCATTTGCAGATGATGACAATAATTTGCTTTGTCTCATGTCACAGAACTGTTTTGAGGATCCAAGGAGATAGTGTAAGTAAACATATGATAAACATTAATAAGTAGTACCAGGTATAAAATATTTTATGACAAGACCATGTTGACAGAAGACAGTCCTTCCTCAAAAGTTAAGATTAATTAGTATTTGCATGGGAGTCCGTATGGTAATACCAAGTGCCATAGAGACCTATTAGATGTTATTTATATAATAGTCAGAAATATGAGCTTTGAAATCATTCAAGCCTGAGTTAAAAATTCATTTTCTGTTCTTTACTAATCAAAATACTTCGGGCAAGTACTTAATCTTACTGATCTCATTTCTTCTCATCTGTAAAATAGGGATAGTAGTATTTAGTTTATGGAGTTAGGAGATAAAGATAAAATGAGTATGCTAAGCAGTTGTCACACAGTATATGAGACTTAGTAAATCCCCTACTAATGATAGCTCATAGAATAATAGATCAGCTATTTTGCACAAAGACGAACACTGAACTAACTATATACACCAAAATTGGAATTTTTGTACAACTGCTTTAGGCTCCTCTTTACCTAATCGTTTTTCTGAAACCTTTGGGTACAGATCAGGTGAATCAGTCTAAGGTGAGAGCTTATCAATTTTCATGTGTATAAAAATCACCTTGGGAGCTTGTTAAATATGCAGGTTCTCAGATTTTAGTTCTGGAGATTTGATTTGGGGAGTCTGACTCATGTCCTGGGGATGAATGTTTAAAAATGCCTCCAGTGATTCTGATGTAAGTGATTCCATGTTGAGAACAATTGCTCAGTGTATGTCACGTTCAGAGGGACGATGCTAGTTAAACATAATTGCCACTTTTTCCTTGTGTATATTTTACATCTCAGTCTATGATATCTTCTTTTTCTCCTAAAGGTTTTTCCTTTGTCATATTGTTAATGCCAAAACGAAAATATTTGGGATTCAAATTATTTGACGTAGTTGGAATAGCTGCATTAAGAAAAGAAATTCCTGCTATCATAGTATAATATATAAGTTTAAGAAATACTAAGGTTTCATAGAGACTTTTGAAGTAATAAACTAGGGAAATACATGTTTCTGTGCATTTTGAATTGTACAATTTTGTGATCTTGATTTAGTTTCCAAATGCATTTCTGACATCTCTTAAAGGATGGTCATGAAAACAGAAAATGGAAGAATTAGTTTTTCATGCTTTCCATAGATAACATAAAATCCCCAAGAATATTTCCAGTGTTTGTTTTATTTGTTCAGTCTTTGAGTTGTTTGCATAATTTATTCTGAGGATACAGAGATTTGCCAACAATCAAACTAATTTCAATGATTTGTGTTTGGTTCATGTTGTCTCAATTTGAGTATTTGTGTTAATCAAATATATTCTTCCAAATAATAAAGGTTTACCAAATACAAAAGGAAATTATTAAAAGCTGTCTGTATAAATACAATATCTTTATACTCAGACTTACTGGAAGATATTAGAATTAAACTAAAGTGTTTATTAAACAATTGAAATGAATACTCTTTATTATTATGATTGCAACAATAATAAAATGTTTATAATGTTGATAACACTGATTAAACACATTATGTCCCATTGAACATAACAATTTGTGAGGTGGGCACTGGTAGCATTCTATTTATAGATGAGGAAACTGAGTTTCAGAGAAATTGAGAGTCCAGGGTACATAGCTTTTAAGTAGTAGGACAGATTTGTACAAGTGTGTCTGATTCTGAATTTGAAAATTCAAGTAATACATTAATAAAAATTTACAGTAAGTTCTAAATGTTCAAAAAGAGAAAGCTTCACAAAGTTTCAATGGTGGAGTAAAGCATTTTCCCTTTCCATTTGGAAGGAAAATGGAAAAAAATAAACACGTGTTTAGTTACCCTTAGAAAAAAAATTTAATTTTCTTAGTAAATATACAAATACATTCCAAACAACTTTATTTACACATTACTGTTATCAGAGTGGCAGAAACTGACAAAAGTTATCAACACACAGGCAAAGGAGAGGAGATTCTTTAAAGTAGCATCGTCAGGAAGTCTGATCTCACCTAGAGCGGAGAACAGAGCAGCATCATATCAACTGAAAGTTTGATTTTCCTGGTCTCTGGACTTTCCTCAGAGGTCACACAGCAGCAAAAGATGCCTTTGCTTTGGGTGAAAATTCTGTAAGATCATCTGAGAAAGTAGTCTTAGTTTTCTTCTAAGATTATTTTCTCTTCGTGGACACTTCTGGCTATATGTAGGGCGATAACTGTGCCTACTGCTTGTCATGATTACCTGCAAACCATAAAGCACCTTGTAGGCATGATTTATAAGGTAACTGAGCATTCACACTGGGAACATCCATATTCATGTATGTTCAATGTGATTCATTGTGATTACATATATATATATATATATCTTTCCCTTTTTGTTGAAAGATGGCATTATTAATACGTAGAATTGTATTCACCTGGTAAAGACATCATTCACACACTCCATAAAGTTTTATTTTAAATTAAAAGAATTTTTGCTCTGACATTAATCCTATTAACAGAATAGAGAATTCAAAATTATGTCAAGAAGCAACACAAGCTTTTAACACTAATAATTGGCACTGTTCTGTAGGTGATATTAAGAAGCCTAAGGTTACAGAAGGATGGAAATATATATGTGTGTATATATACATATATATATATATACACACATATATATATATATAATCTCACAAGTATAAGCTTGGGAGCAAGTAAGACCTCACACAGTGCATTCCTGTGCGCAGGATCAGAATCAGTCTTCCATTTCTCACACTAAGAAGAACCATAACAGAGGGCCTAACTAAAAGTACCACATTTGGCAAGATGAATGTGAAAGTTAAAGTCGATTCAGACATTGACTCTTTATTTATAAATGTTTTTAATTTTGTTAAATGTTGAACACAATAAAGTCAGTTTTGTTTGTCTATAAAGACAATTTGAGCACAGATTTTAAAATGAAGTTTTTAAAGTTAAATTATATTGTGCTTTCTTGAGTACATCAGTGCAGTTTAACTTTGGGAAAAGGAACTCAGGCAGTAGAGCCACAAAGGAAACCCCAGATATTTAGTTTCATATTGAGGATTGCCACATACCTGTGTTTTCTGAATAAATAAATGAGGGAATGAAGATAGGTGGAAGGAAGAAAGGAAGAAAGGCTGGGTAGAAGAAAAAAGTAGAATAAGATGGGAGTTTATATATTAGTAGTAAGTAGCATGACTAAGAAATTGGTCTTGATGAAATAAAAAGATAATCAATATATTTTGGGTAATAATTGATCAAAAACTTGCTTCCAAAATGGTATCAAAGAGAAAATATTTTAGGGTAATATAGGTCCCAGGTGTTGGAATGGAAATGTGGAGGTAAATGTTAATGGAGTTTTCTAAATAAAAATAACTGTAAAATAGTGGGCTGGTGTTTGAGTAGGTTATTGCTTTATATAAAAAAATTATCAAAAATGATGATAAAACTAAGAGTAAATAAAACAGAGAACTAGGTGACAAAGGTATCAGATCACTAGAAAGACTAAATGCCCTCATTCTTCTTGTATTAAAACAAGTTTATATTAGGGAAATAACAACAATATTAAAATATATTATTATTTTTTAAAAGTCAATAATTTTTGAGCAGCACTTACATACAAGGTACTGTGTGTGATCATTTAAAAACTGCTAAATTATAAGCCATATTTCTTATATAGTTTTAAGCCCCTTCCTCATTGATTGCTTTATTGGAATATTTTCCCTAGTGTAATAATAAAATGTAATTAGTGAGAAAACTTGAACCATTCAGTTATTATTTCCATCCTTCTGTAACCTTGGGCTTCTTAATATCATCTACAGAACAGTGCCAATTATTACAGTGTTAAAAGCTTGTGTTGCTTCTTGACATAATTTTGAATTCTCTATTCTGTTAATAGGATTAATGTCAGAGCAAAAATTCTTTTAATTTAAAATTAAACTTTATGGAGTGTGTGAATGATGTCTTTACCAGGTGAATACAATTCTACGTATTAACAATGCCATCTTTCAACCAAAAGGGAACAGGCAACATAAATTCTTTCTTATAAATTATTTAAATAAATGCAATCTCTCTTTTGTTTAACATTGGAAAAATTGGCATTACAATTTGAAAATAAATATTTCCCACATAAAAAATCTCACAATTTTTATTTTACATTAGAAAGTAAAAGTTTTCATATAAATATTTTGAAATTTAGTATCCAAATGCATTTATCCAAATGCATTTATAATATATTATATATAATATGTATACTATATATAATATATAATATGTATATTATATATAATATTATATATAATATGTATATTATATATAATATTATATATAATATGTATACTATATATAATATATAATATGTATATTATATATAATATATAAAATTACATATATATTATATATATTATTTAATATATAATATATTAAATATATTTAATATAATATTGTTTAAATTTATGCATATGTAACTATATGAATGCCATTTTCTATCCTTAAATTATAGAAATTAGTATATGATGAGTAAATTTATTTGCTTTGTATTCTGAAATAATTTTGATGTTGAGTGGAAATATGAAATTTTAATCGGTATTTCCAAAGAAAACAAATAGAATTGTGTTGAGGAAAATTTCCCCCAAAGTTTGTGCTCAACATTTTGTACATAGACACAAAATTATGAGTAAAAATTATGGAGTTTTTGCTTAATATGTACTGAATAGAAAGAATTCACTGTAAATGCAGGGCACTGGAATGAATTTCCAAAATAGTTGTTCATTCCTTTATTCATTCTCTAATGCAGTAAATATTTACTGAGTGCTTATTATATGAAACTCTCAGATTCTAAGGAAAAAGAGACACTCAATAGAGAAGAAATTCTTCTTTTTATAGGGTTTATGGTGAAAATCTGAATGTCTTAAATGAAGATTAAGTCAAATATAAAGATACAGCTAATCAGCCAGCATGGTGGTGCACATCTGTAGTCCCAGTTACTTGGGAGGGGCTGAGGTGGGACAATCGCTTGAGCCCGGGAAGTTGAGGCTGCAGTCAGCCCTGATCACACCACTGCACTCCAGCCTGTGACAAGAGTAAGCCCCTGTCTCCAAAAAATAAATAATCAAATCAAATGAAGCCAAATCAAATAAAGATGTAGCTAAGAGGAAGAGCTTTAAGAAAACATAACTTCAATATAAAACCAAGAAGACACGCAGATATATTTAGTATTATATCAAAACACTAGAAAGTAAAATAAAAAGTTCTTCACAAAGAAATATGTATAAACACATACCTACAAAGCCACTAGATATTACATTTACATAACTTATTAAATGTCTATGATTTACCGTAAACTAAACTAGAATAACTTATTTTAGAAAATCAATTAGATTCCAATAAATTTTTTAAAGCTACCATTTGTAACTTCAAAAAATGCAAATCTCTTGATTATTTTGTATTTATTTATTATGAATATAAATGTGTTAAATGGACAGAACATCTGAAATACTGTAACATCAAAATTATTTACCAGAAAAGTGGTTCCTGGATACTTTTCTGAGACTATCTTCTGAGAAGATATTTTAATCAGTCATGAAACTGAGCAGTGTTTCAATTTGTAATGGAGTTTGACTATTTTAATGATACTTTCTATCAATATTTAATTGTAAACATTATAATTAGTTTTCAATGATGTATCAAACATCTGAGAAAACTCCAATAGCAATTTCTTTGGATTGGAATGAATAAGAATGCACAATTTTTGAAATGTGTTATGACTATTTCTTTCCAGCTGTATTAACAAGCAAAAACATTTGCTGGATAAAATTTTTGACCATGGTGGTTGGTATTAATTGTGAATATAATAGAATGGATTAGCATGTGATAGTCTGACTTTCCAGTAGCAAACAGATACAGTCTGTGACTTCTTGACACAGTAGTGTCAAAGGTAGTGCTTTTTGGTGAAGGAACTACAGTAATGGACTCACAGCTCCATGTGGCTGGGGAGGCCTCACAATAATGGTGGAAGGTGAAAGGCCCATCTCACATGGTAGCAGACGAGAGAAAATGAGAACTTGTTCAGGGAAACTGATTTTTAAAAAACCATCAGATCTCATGAGACTTATTCACTATCACAAGAATAGCATGGGAAAGACCCACCCTTATGATTGTTTGTGTTGTCTGTGATTTCTTTCAGCAGTGTTTTGTAGTTTTCCTTCTAGAGGTCTGTCACCTCCTTGGTTAGGTATATTCCTAAGTATTTTGTTTTATGTTTTTGCAGCTATTATAAGAGGGGTTGAGTTATTGATGTGATTCTCAGCTTAGTCACTGTTGGTGTCTAGCAGAGCTACTGATTTGTGTGCACTAGTTTTTTATCCTAAAACTCTGCTGAAATCATTTATCAGTTCTAAGAGCTTTTTGGAGGAGTCTTTAGGGTTTTCTAGGTATATGATCATATCATCAGCAAACAGAGACAATTTGACTTCCCGTTTACTGATTTGGATATGCTTTATTTCATTCTCTTTTCTGATTGCTCTGGCTAGGACTTCCAGTACTACATTGAATAGAAGTGGTGAGCCTTGTATTGTTCAGTTCTCAGGGGGATTTCTTTCAACTTTTCCCCATTCAGTATTATGTTGGCTGTGAGTTTGTCATAGATGGCTTTTATTACAGTAAAGTACATCCTTTCTATGCTTTTATTACATTAAGGTACATTCTTTCTATGATTTTGCTGAGGGTTTTAATCATAAAGGGATGCTGGATTTTTGTCAAATGCTCTTTCTGCATTCATTGAGATGATCATGTGATTTTTGTTTTTAATTATTGATAGGGTTTGCCTGTGTCCCACCCAAATTTCATCTTGAATACTAGCTTCATAATTCCCACATGATGAGGGAAGGACCCGGTGGGACATAATTGAATCATAGGGTGCTCTCTAGAAGATAATTTGTCCTTTTACTCTTCTTAGTTTTAAATTTTTAAGAATGTACATTTTTAGAATCATATAGTAAAGGAATTTCATTCTGAAAACAGGACCTGGATTTATTCAAAAGAAATAGTTCTTAGAGAAATTCTCAAACTATCCTTTTTAAAAATAAAGCTCACTCTGTAATGGTAAAGCATACTTCTCAAACAGATTATATTCTTAAGACTGTTCTGAATATAAGTAAATTTGTCTAACAATCTGTCATATATGTTACTTTTCCTGTGTAAGTTACATAGGTTAATTTCAAAAAGAATTAACAGTGACTCATATTATAAAAGAAGAAAGTTAACATACTAAAACAGATCAACACATTAGAAGTTGGCAACAGTGCCATCTTTTATCCATGTAATTAGTTATAGCAATAGGGCATTTCAATTCAGCATTTCCTGTTATATAGGGCTAAAAATTGTCTTTAAATATTTTCTGTCTATGGAACCATATTTTACATATTTATCATATGATTCTTATAAAATCGGTAATAAGTAACAAAATGAGCTCTATCTTTCTTCATATCTTTCTTTTATATTAATGAAACAAATATCTATCATATAGACTTTTTACAACATTAAATTGCATTTAGTGATGGTTTTGGGTTACAAATGAGACAGCCTTTCTACAAGGAGCTAAAATAATATACTCCAGAAATATTACCTGATTTTCTTTCTTAATGTGGGAATAAACCATAAAGAATCCAAATAAATCGACAGTTAACTTGTTCCTTAAGTCTTTCCTTCAGATGTCTCAAGTGAATTCTTGGCTAAGGCTGAATCAAAAGCATTTTTTCTGCTTGAATTCACTGACAAATATTTGAAGTGCTGATGTTGTATAGTTTTGATTTACTTATTAAATGAGTTCTGTGGAGATTATTTGCTTTAATAGGTCCTGTTATTTTCAATATAGTTGCTTGTAAGCTTTTCTCTTTCCAGTTATAAGATTTAGACAGCACATGTATAGTGGATAAAATTGACTGTGGTTTTAGAATGGATTAGATCCCTGGCTCTGCCTTTTACCAGCTAAACGACCCTCACTTTTGCCATCAGTCAAATTAATATAAAGATGTGCTTGCAAATTTTCTGTAAGAATTCAATAAGATAATTGGGGTAATGTTCAGAAAGAAGTAACTCTGTTTATGGAAACTGTTGTTATTATCATGTATAGTTGTGATGCTAAAACCATATTATCATTGTGTAGATTTATATTCATTTAAATGTTCTTGGCAAAGGCATGTGGTCACTATGGCAGGATTTCTGGTTACCTACACAGTGTTAATTCTCTCGTGTTAATAGAAAACTTTGTGTTCAGAAGGGCAATGAGCTCAGCTTAAAACCAGATTTTCTAGCAACTTCTGTAACTAGGAGTAGTCTTGTGACTCCTAGTTCCACCTAATTATATAGACATAGAAGATGCTAGTTGTGGAAAATTTTTTAGATAGTTAAGTTTCTGTTTTATATATACAGATGAACACAATCCCTACTTGAAAGAAGATTTGGCTCATGAAAGAGTAGTTTAATGAATATCAAAACCAATATTGTGGAATGCAGTTGAGATGGGGCTAGAAGAAGAGTTCTAACCACCACGGAGTGGAAACTTACTGACTCTTGATATACATCAATGAAACAACTGGTCAAATTGTTCTGCTTGGGTTGAAGACCAAGGTAATGATTGACGTTGTAAAAGTTAGGGAAATGGAAGAAAAAAATAGAATATTGGATACTTCTTGTTCTTTTCTGAGGAGGCTTGCAAGACAAATTTGAGCCAGAAATGGGGAAAAACATTCTTTCCTAAGAGTCACTCTGAATTTGTGACCCACAGTCAAAATTAACTGAGAGTTCCACAATTTGCAGTTTCTAGTGTTGAAAAAGACTATAAATTATAATGGTTATTATGGTGGTTTTGAAGCTGCAATTTTATCAGGGCATAATGGAGTGGCAAGATTTCCCAGAATACTTTTCTTTAAGTGTTTTCCACTAAACAAGAGCAGGAGCCCACAACAAAAAGACCTATTTTTAAAATTGCTTTAAGGCAGTGGTCATTAAGCTAAGGGCCAGGGGAAGAACAGTATACAAAGACTAGTAGAAGAATGGAGTCTTTAGCCTTAAAGATTTTATCTAGACAAGATCTTTGGCTTTAAATACATATAATTTACCAGAAACAAATAGAATATTATAAAGACTCACTGGTTAACTCAGAATTTTTCCAGCAAAAGAGATGTGGACAGAAGTGACATATGTCATTTTAGGGCAGAGATCATATATGATTTAAAATCTCTCTTTTCCCTCTACCTCAAGAACTGTAATGCTCCCAGACCATGAACAGGTAATGGTCAGTAGCCTGTTAGGAACTAGGCTGCATAGCAGGAGGTCAGCAATGGGTGAGTGAGCTTTACTGCCTGAGCTCTGCCTCCTGTTAGATCAAATGTGACATTCGATTCTCATAGGAGCGTGAACCCTGTTGTGAACTGCTTTGCATGCCAGGGATCTGGGCTGCATGCTCCTTATGAGAATCTAATGACAAATGATCTGAGGTGGAACAGTTTCACCCTGAAACCAACACCCACCCTCTACCCCAGTCCATGGAAAAAATGTCTTCCACAAACCTGGTCCCTGGTGCCAAAAATATTGCGGACTGCTGCTTTAGGGAGAGCCTGAGTTCTGGAATGAAATTAATAAGGAAAAGAGCTGTGGTTGTTCACCAACAGAAGTGGAGTTGAAAGTATATTAATCTCTGTTGTTGTTTGGGCCAGGATTTGGAGCTCTTTTTAGCCCAGCATAACCTAGTTTGCTTATACATAAAGCCTTATGTACCCTTGCTTGAAGGAAGCCAAGAGAATATTCAGAAGAGAGTTACCTGTTGCCTCAGTTGTTATACATAGGGCTTTATTATGAAAACTCTACACTTGTACCATGCAGAAAAAGAAGTGGCACAAAGGGGGAAATAGAAAGCTGGGGATGTTGAAAAAATGATAAAAGACTCAACAAGGTGGAGTCATTCTGGTAACTTTTGAAGAAAGGCATAGACACAGAGAAAGTTAACTGCATTTCCACTGAGAAGTTGTAGCACTCAGAGGTTAATTTTATGTGTCAGCATGGCTAGGCTTCATGCCCAGTTGCTTGGTCTAAGATCAGCCTAGATGTTGCTGTGAAATTGTTTTTATTATTATTATTATACTTTAAGTTTTAGGGTACATGTGCACAATGTGCAAGTTACTTACATATGTATACATGTGCCATGCTGGTGTGCTGCACCCATCAACTCCTCATTTAACATTAGGTATATCTCCTAATGCTATCCCTCCCCCCTCCCCCCACCCCACAACAGGCCCTGATGTGTGATGTTCCCCTTCCTGTGTCCATGTGTTCTCATTGTTCAATCCCACCTATGAGTGAGAACATGAGGTGTTTGGTTTGTTGTCCTTGCGATAGTTTGCTGAGAATGATGGTTTCCACCTTCATCCATGTCCCTGCAAAGGACATGAACTCATCATTTTTATGGCTGCATAGTATTCCATGGTGTATATGTGTCACATCACATGAAAAAATGCTCATCATCACTGGCCATCAGAGAAATGCAAATCAAAACCACAGTGAGATACCATCTCACACCAGTTAGAATGGTGATCATCTCACACCAGTTAGAATGGCGATCAGTCAGGAAACAACAGGTGCTGGAGGATGTGGAGAAATAGGAAAACTTTTACATTGTTGGTGGTACTGTAAACTAGTTCAACCATTGTGGAAGTCAGTGTGGCGATTCCTCAGGGATCTTGAAATAGAAATACCATTTGACCCAGCAATTCCATTACTGGGTGTTTACCCAAAGGATTATAAATCATGCTGCTATAAAGACACATGCACATGTATGTTTATTGCGGCACTATTCACAATAGCAAAGACTTGGAACCAAGCCAAATGTCCAACAATGATAGACTGGAATAAGAAGGTTTTTTTATATGATTAACATTTTAATCAGTTGACTTTCTGTAAAGCAGATTATCCTCAATAATGTGAATGAGCTTAATCCAATCAGTTAAAGGCCTTAAGAAAAAAGGTTGAAGTCTCTCAAAGAGGATGGAATTCTGCCTCCAGACTATCCTTGGATTTAAGACTACGAGATCACCTCTTGCCAGAATTTCCAGTCCGCTACTCTGACAGCTCTGTTTCTCTGAATAAGGCAAGCACCTTAACAACATTGGAGGACTGAAAGAGCTCTTGGCCCTCAACCCCTAGATTTCACAGTGTCAAGACAAATGTCTAGTGTGTGTGAGTGTGTGTGTGTGTGTGTGTGTGTGTATTAGGTGTAATTCAAATCTAATTTTAAGAAGTATGATTTAAATGAAACATGTAAATTGGAGGATGACTATATACCCTTAAGATCATTTTTACTGGATAAGAATGGAGCATGTGACTATATATATATATATATATATATTTTTTTTTTTTTTGGTCATACAATTTATTTTCCTTTTGGTATATACCCAATAATGGGATTGCTGGGTTGAATGGTAGCTCTATTTTTAGTTCTTTGAGAAATCTCCCAACTGTTTTCCACAGTGGCAGAAGTAGTTTACATTCATACAGTGTATAAGCATTGCCTTTATTCCGCAGCCTCATCAACTTCTGCTATTTTTTGGCTTTCTAACAATAGCCATTCTGACTGGTATGAGTTAGTATTTTATTGTGGTTTTGATTTGCATTTCCCTGATGATTAGTGATGTTGAGCATTTTTGTTTTCATGTTTGTTGGCTACTTGTATGCATTCCTTTGAGAAGTGTCTGTTCATGTCCTTTGCCCACTTTTTAATGGGGTTATTTGCTTTTTGCTTGTTGATTTAAGTTCCTTATAGATTCTAGATATTAGTCCGTTTTCAGAGGCATAGTTTGTGAATATTTTCTCCCATTTTGTAGGTTGTCTGTTCACTCTGTTGTTAGTTTTCTTTTGCCCTGCAGAAGCTCTTTAATTCGGTCCAATTGTCAATTTTTGTTTTTGTTGCAATTGCTTTTGAGGATATGGCCATAAACTCTTTGTCAAGGCTGATGTCTAAAAGGGTGTTTCCTAGCTTTTCTTCTAGGATTTTTACAATTAGAGGTCTTACATTTAAGTCTTTAATCCATCTTGGGTTAATTTGTGTATATGGTGAAAGGCAGAGGTCCAGTTTTAATCTTTTGCACATGGCTAGCCAATTTTTCCAGCACCGTTTATTGAATAGGAGGACCTTTCCCCCTTGCTTACTTTTGTTGACTTTGTCAAGAATCAGACGACTGTAGATGTGTGGCTTTATTTCAGGGTTCTGTATTCTGTTCCCTTGGTTTATGTGTCTATTTTTGTAACAGTACCATGCTGTTTTGGTTACTATAGCCTTATAGCATAGTTCAAAGTTGGGTAATATGATGTATCCAACTTTGTTCTTTTTTCTTAGGATTGTTTTGGCTATTCAGCCTCATTTTTGGTTCCATATGAATTTTAGAATAACGTTGGTAGTTTGGTAGAAATCACGTTGAAAATGTAGATTGCTTTGGGAAGTATGGACATTTTAATGATATTGATTCTTCCAGTCCATGAGCATGGAATGTCTTTCCATTTGTTTGTGTCATCTATGATTTCTTTCAGCAACTTTTATAGTTCTCCTAATAGAGATCTTTCACCTCGTTGATTAGATGTATTCCTAGGTATTTTATTTTTTGGTGACCATTGTAAAAGGATTTCATTCTTGATATGGCTCTCAGATAAGAGCCAAATGTTATTGGTTTATAGAAATGCTATTAAGTTTTATATGTTAATTTCTTTTTTTCACATACAATTTTTTTTATACTTCAAGTTCTAGGGTACATGTGCACAATGTGCAGGTTTGTTACATATGTATACATGTGCCATATTGGTGTGCTGCACCAATTGACTCGTCATTTACATTAGGTATATCTCCTAATGCAATACCTCCCCCCTCCCCCCACCTCACAACAGGCCCCAGCATTGGTGGTTCAGTGGTAGAATTCTCGCCTGCCACCCTTGTTACTATAATTTTAACTTAGTTAAATATTACTTTAATCTAGTTGCCACAGCTGTTTGCTGTAACCAACGTTTACTAAATTTACTGAGAGAATTAAATAAAAATCTGTGTTATAGGAGACAATGACTCTAGAATCAGAACATTTTGGGGGAACTTAATTTGGAAACTTTAATTGATGTAATTAACGCTTATGGAAGCCAGTTGGTAAGGAAAAGAAACGAATTAAGTGCTAAAAATTCACACAATCTCTTAAATCCTCCCATCAACATGTGTTATGGGTGATGAAGGAAAAGGTAATGGAACTGGAAGGAGAACATCAAAAGACCTGGGGGTGGGTGTGGCTAAGATTCACATGCCTTGTAGAGCAAATTCCTACTACCTACTACCTATGTTTCAAATTCTGGTGGTCTTTGCACTGGTAGTAGATTTTTTTGTGTGTAAATAAAATGTCAGAGAAACTATGGAAACACACCTGAAAAGTATGTAAAGGAAATAGTATCAAAGTCAGAATGTGGGTTAGGAAAGAAAGTGCTAATAGTTTCTCTCCCTATACTGGAAGATGGCACGTTAAAGAAAGAAAGATGGCTTGGTCAGATTAATTATCCATATGCTTTCATTATATCTTTTGATCTTATCATTACTCTTTTTGAAACTCTTTGACTACTTTTAAGATTTTTCTCTTTGTCTTTGGTTTTCAGATCCTTGGTATAGTTTTGTTTCCATTTATCTTGACTGAGTTTTCTAGAGCTTCATAAATATACGAAAAAAATTTTATTAGTTTTGGAAAATTCTTGTCTATTATTTCTTTAAATATTACTTCTTCATTCCTTTTATTTCATCATCTTGGAACTAAATTATAGTATTTTAGAACATTTCAACAGTCCCTAATTTTTCCTTATTCTCTTTTTTACATTTTTTATTTTTGTTCATGTTTATTTCAGTTTGGATATTTTCTACTGATATTTATTTTAGCTCACAAATCTTTTCTTCATTTATTAAGTTTTTAATATTAGTTACATATTTTTACTTCTAGTATTTCCATTTGATTTTGTACAGAGTTAATTTTTTCATCTTTTTATCTTTAAGATGTTAATCAGTTCTTTTTAAATCTTGAACATATTCATATGTTAAAGGCCTATCTCTCAATATCTAAATCACTGAGAGTTTTATTCTATCGTTTGATTTTTTTCTCTCCTGTTGCTGTCTTCTGGTATTACTGGCAATTTTTGAATGATGCTGAGCATTGTGTTTGATACATTCCAGAAATTCTGTAAGTTCTTATCTTCCTTCAAATGGGTAGTTACCTTAGCTTCTATCGAGCATTCCGAATAAAACGACATCACCTCAATTTAACCATGAATTGTGCTGTTTCAAGGTTTGCTTTCATTCTTTATTGCCTGCTTATTTCTTATTTACTTTAGTCATAGAGAGTAATTTTTCAGAATTCTAAACAGAAATTCTGAGTTGATTGAGAGAGCCCTTCCTTCTTAGTGGATTCTAAATTCTAATTTTCTTCCCCTTTCTCTTGAAGAGACTGGAGCTGTGCAGCTGGTTGTCACATTACTGCTCAGCTTCTTTGTCTCTCAGTGCACACTATTTAGGAATCCTTAATTGCCTTTTTAAATGCTGCCTAGAATTGTAGGCTCATCTCAATGAGTTTCCCTTCTCTCTGGTATCTTAGCCTCTGAACTCTGACTTCCTTGATAGCTGTCCAAATCTTCAGAACAGTGTTTGGCTTATTTTGTTTTGTTTTATTTGTTTTTCATTCTTATTTTAAAAATTTCCTTTTCTGATTGTTTTCAGGATTGGGGGGGTG
The DNA here is from genome assembly GCF_000001405.40 of Homo sapiens. Classification (NCBI taxonomy): domain Eukaryota; kingdom Metazoa; phylum Chordata; class Mammalia; order Primates; family Hominidae; genus Homo; species Homo sapiens. Next base: position 86,371,030 of record NC_000005.10, on the reverse strand, counting down.
TATGTGAGTGCTATGTTATTTGAACTAAACTCAGAATACACATTTCATGTAAGAATACTATTATTCCTTTCTTCAATTTAAAAAGTCTTCAGTTTTTTAGAGAAAATTCTCTTTAAATTTTGCTTTCTTTTAAAACATTTTCTCTATTCCTTTCTTCTGTCTTATAACTGCTGTTACATATAAGACATGAATTATATATACACATAAATTTACCAACTTTTTGACTTTCTGTTATGTGTTCTAAGTTAATTTCTTAGTGTAGTCTTCAATTCACTATTTTTTTGGACAATTTCTAGCCCTGCCTAGAATTCTACCATACTTCATTTTTCTTTAAATTATGTCAATATATTATTTTTATAATTTATAATTGCTCCTCTCATTTATTTATATTAACTTTATATATTATGAGTAATTCTCTTTCTTGTTTTTAATATAATTTATATAGAACATGTATAAAAGTTTGCCCAAGTCTCTTATGATAAAGTGAATTTATAATCCAGTTGTTGATTTTTATAGGCTGTCTTTTTTATCATTAAACTTTTTGATTTGCTTTAGAATTTTAATGTTACTTACCACCTAGTAAACCTCTTCTTTTCCTTTAAGGCTTAGCTGAAATATAAACTTATTTGTCAAACTATCTTTAACTCTTCATGTCTGAATTAATGATTAATGCCTCTGTCTTCCCACAACACTTTGATAAACGACAAACTTATATAAAATGTAACATAATAAAATAATATATGTTTGTGTTTCCCCTATTGGACTGAGAGCTCTTTAGAGTAGGATTCTGGGCCATTTTTTAAATGGCTGCTTTTATTCAGTGCTTTAAATATAGCAGACAGCCAATATAACTTTTTAAATAATTATGATTATTCATATTTATATTTCTTGACTCACAATATAGACTGAGAGGCCAAGAAGTGAGTTATTTACATTGGAGATCATAGATATTATTTCTTGACTTTTTAGTTATTTCTAGATATTGAATTTTCCTAGAAATAAAAAAATCTTTTTATAGTGTTTTCTCTTTAGAACAAATTTTTCCCCACATATTTTTTCCTTTTGTTGATAAAAGCATAGGGATATTGATATGAAACTCTTCATATTGTTAAGAGAAGTGTTTTGGGGTATAGGTGGTTAACTTTCTGGAGATGGGCTATACTATCTTTAAAGTCCAGGCTCTCAAACGAAGTATTCTCACTGTTGTAGGTGCTGAAAAAAAATATTTGAAAATAACCTGTGACTGACAAGGTATCTGACTTTCTACTCAGAAAACAGACCAGTCACAAAACAATGTTATTTATGCTAACATATCCTATTCCCGATTTGAAATGGCAAATTTTAAAATAATACATAGATAATATAGTAATTAAGTGAAAGACAAATTTGTGTTAGTCTTTGAGAAACAAATATGATAGAGGTAGGCTTTGTGTCCCCACCCAAATCTCATCTTGAATTGTAATTCCCAGATGTTGAGGGAGAGGTCTGGAGGGAGGCTGGATTATGGGGATGGTTTCCCCTATGCTGTTCTTGTGATAGTGAGTGAATTCTCACGAGATTTGATGGTTTTATAAGTGTCTGGCATTTCCCCTGTTGTTACTTCTCTCTCCTGCCACCGTGTGAAGGTTCTTCCTTCCCCTTTACCTTCCATCATGATTGTAAGTTTCCCGAGGCTTCCCAAGCCACATGGAACTGTGAGTTAATTAAACCTCTTTCCTGTATAAACCACCCAGTTGTGGGCTTTATAGCAGTGTGAGAATGGACTAATACAAAATATCAAGACAGGATAAACATATAAGGATTACATAAGGGAAAATGTATAAGTAAAAGCATATAAGTAGGTAGCCAGGAAAGTTGGGGAAAGCTGTCAGACTGCAATGCAGCCTAACTCTGAGTGAAGGGAAAAGAAAGAAAATGTTGGATGAAGCATCTTAGATGGCCTTCCAGTATATGAAAGGTTTGGCAACACCAGTGGACAGTTCTTAAGTGAAATTCAGTCCAAAAAGAGGCTCATGTTTCTAAGGAATGGTCTGTCTAGAATAACTGTTCTCAGTGCAAAACACAAAGATGAAATTCAAAGTGTAGCAGCAAGAGTTCTTGGTCAGTAATGCTACCTGTAGTAGGCAACCTGATAATAAAAATCACAGTATATATAAATCATAAAATATTCAGCATAGTGGGTTAAAATCAGCCCAAGAACTTTATTTCATTTTTGGCTCTTCAAATTATTTTATTTATTTTATATTTTTCTATTTCATTTCTTTTTACTGATCTGTATACTGAGTCAATAATGTCCTTCAAGCTCCACTTTTCCCCTTTCTTCTTTTTTCTTTTCAAGTTTTCTTTTATTTCCTTTTTAAGTTCTCCTCTTTCTTAAGGACAAGTTTTCCTAAGATTTGATTGACAGACTGAAGTCTTGAAGGGTGGTCACTTAGTCCTTGCCAGAAGGCCCTCGAGCTGTTGTTAGAGACCAATTTATGCTATTATCCGTGGAAGAAAAATATATTAACAAAGACTATTCAACTGAATTCACCTCTTCACAGGTCATTTGTTTCCCGACCACTTTATCACCCATGCATGCTCTTCCACCCCAAGTTCATGTAATAGTAAATCGTGGGCAGGAAATGATAATCCAAAAATGTATAACTTGACTCTTTTTTTGTATCCACTGGATTATCTTTTTTTCCTGAAAGAGTATAAATAATCTTAAACTTTCCTATATTTTAATATGAGATGATTTAAAGATGTATCAGTCACAGAATCTACATAAAGTAACATTATAATTTTTTTCTCTTATGAGTAGATTTTTCCATTAAATTGGATTTTATAGGACATAGTTTCCATGACCTGTAAGCTACAAAGGTTAAATCTGATTATAATTTAGGAAACATGTTTACTTTTAATATCTTGGACAATTTAAATAAAAACTTCTGTAGTTTAATAGGCAAGCCTTTTATTGTGATCAATAACAGAGATGTTAACGGTAGAAATTCTTATATGTATTATGAGCAGATTTGTGTAATAAAAATCATAACTTGAATTCAGTTGAATTCATTGTTTAAAATTAGCTGCTTACTTGAATTAAAAAACCAACATAAAATTTAATTTTGTTTTTAATGTTTTTTCCCCTCCACCTCACCATCCTCCCTCAGTATAGTGAATTACAAACAATTATGAGAAACAACAACACTTTTTTATGTTGTGGATCTAACCAGATCCTCATGAGCAGCTCATGCTGTCACTCAGGAGACACTTTGAAGTAGAACCTAGCATTTTATCATATTGAAAAAGCAATAATCAGGCTTCTGACAACTTTTGTGTGTAGTCAGAAAAGGAAAATTATTTTGTATACCCTATCATATAACCTCATCCTCCATCTAAATATCTCATTTTTTTCTGGAGTCCCACATTTCTTCCAGCAGCCTCACCTCCCTTGCATTCCATTATCTAACCTCTTAAATCCTCTGAAACATTCTATATATTTTATTCTGTTAAATTGAATTAAGTTTGGCCTAAAATTGCCTCTGTACATATTGTAAGTTGGGACTAAAAGTGACATTTTCCTAGATTATGTTAAGCATACTGACCATTTTTATATCTGTCTGGTCACTTGGGATCATAGTGGAGCCACAATTATTAATTGGAGGGTAGAGGTATAAGCTAGAAATGTGTTAAGAGTAATAATGTATTTATATAATGATAATTAATAATTGTTATAAAAAAGTACACAGTTTGAGAATTTGAAAGAATTGTCTTCTGAGCATTTTCTAGGTATTAATATTTTCTCATAGAAACAGTTGTATAGAACCACTACATTATGATTATTACAGCTAAAATGTATGCAGCAGTTATTGTCTGTCAGTTGCTTTACATGGATTGTCTTATTTAGTTTTAACAATAGACCTACGAGGAAGTTACAATTATTTTCCCTATTTGCAAGATGAGGTAATGAAGACTGAGAAGTTAAATGGCTCACAGAAGAAAATCTAAATGAAAGACTATTGAGCCTACCTGTGAACCCATGCATTTCTAGCTTTTACCTATTTCACCATGTTTCCACTATATTTATAATTGGTAGAATTTTAGATCATCACACAAAAATTATTTAATCTATAATTGATGAAAGGAAAACTTGACTTGATTTCATTCATCTTATTTTCTCAAAGTACTAATTTTTAAAAGCCAGCAACTATATCTTTGGCTCTACAACCCTTAAACAATAGTTCACAGAGGAGAATAGATAGCATAGCTCCTTGCTTATTCTTTAATTTGCATAAGGGAAGTGACAAGAGCTCTCCTAGTGTCATTTCCCAATAGTTAAGGATTGGGCATCAAAGGTCAACTGACTCCACATACCTAGCACTTGAGCAGAATTCGCCAACATAATTAAAATTAGTTGAAAATTGTGTTTGTTCATAGTACCTTTGACATTCATTGAGTTGCTGATTTCTCTTTTAACTGTGTTATGTGTGTTGCTTGCGTTTAGTAACAGTAATTGGCATATCATAGTGTTGAATGAAAAAAATTTATAAAAATGAATATTTTCCTACTATAATTCCTATACATTAGGCACATGAATAGTCATTATTTAAAGTAACTGTGATTTATAAGCAGTGATATAGACCTCATTTATTTTACACTTACAATGAAAAAGGAGAAAAAATATGGATTTCTAACTGCTGAATTTCCAATTACCTCATTAATTTGGATTGCTTTTGTTGAGTAAACATGTACCTGATGTATTTTGGAGAGAAATAGAATGTAAGATTTATTAAATTTTTAGTTTGTTCTGTGTTCTGATGTAGTTACCTCAAACCATTTTCCTTGGTAGCAGAGTAAACATCTACTTTTCTCAATGGCATGGTAAATGCAGTAAAAAATTTTGAATGTTTTGAATGAACTTTTAGTAACAGTATGACTATGTCTTTAGTTACAAAATATTTTGAATATATGTTCTATGTCAGTCTACAAAGAGTTACATTAAATTTAGTCCTTAATCAAGTAAAGACTAAAGTCAGTATTATTTTGATGGTTTTATGCATATAATATGAATTTACATGAATTAATCATCTCATTAAAAAAGACATGTTTGTATAAATAGCAAATATGTTATTTGTTTAAAATATATATTTAAAACTGTTAATTAAGTTATTTAGTTTATATATACATAATATTTTCTCATGGTAATTTTTTTGTTTATAAAACAAAATGCAAATTACATTATCCTTTTTAAATCAACATAGTGAAAATGATCTTTTTATGTCTTTATCATGAAATTATTTTAAAATTATAGAAAGTAAACTAAAACTAAAGCATGCTGTTTTATACCATGGAAAATAAAAATATTAATTATATAAATTAGAATGTAAGAAGATAAGTCATTCTTTTGTTTTTGTCAATTAAGTATTATAAAATTCTGGGGGGGTTATGTTAATGTAATTTATACAAAAGTTTTATCTCTGAATTTTCTAGACGTGTCTTCCAATATTTAAAATACATTTGTTTGATTAAACTTAGAGGTACACAATATTTACTAATATACTTAGATATGGTTGGTGCTATGGGTTGAGTTTTGTTGTTATAAAAAAAAGATACATCAAATTCCTAATTTCAATCACCCGGGATGCAACCTTATTTGGAAATAAGGTAGTTGGAGGTGTAATTCATTACATTAAGATGAGGTCCTATTGGAGTAGGGTGTGCTCCTAATCCAATATGACTTGTGTCTCTATAAGAAGAAGGCTATATGAAAACAGAATTACACAGAGTGAACACTGCATACAACCAAGGCAGAGATTGGAGCTATATATGCTTCTACAAACCAAGTAATGCCAAAGATTGCTGGCAAATCACAAGAACCTAGGAAGAGTAAAGAAAGGATTCCTTTACAAGTTTCAGAGGGTGCATGGCTCTACTAACTTCTTGATTTCAGATATGTTTAGGACTGAAGATCTCTTGATTTCAGATATCTCTAGGACTTTAAGACAAAAACATTTCTGCTGTGTTTAACCATCCTGTTTGTGGTAGTTTGTTATTGCTAGATTCAAATGATCGACCCTGGAATCCAGATAAAAAAATTTGGGGCTTTTAAAAATAACATTTATAATGTGTAGGGAAGAACTAATTACTGAGTAACTATGATATTATCTATAATTTCCTGAAAAAAAATAGAGCATAATGGATGGAGTGATGGTGTGAGAATGACACCACATCTATGTAATTAACTCTGGTTATTAACTGTAGAGAGACATTTTGCTTTCTCTGGCCACCAGTTTCTCTATCCTCCAAATAAAAATAATATCTCCCAAAGTGCCTTTAATAAGCTGATTTGGATATTAAATAAGGATATATTTCCCAAGTTGTCTGGAAATTTAAAACTGTGTGCCAACATAAGAAAATATCTTTATACATCCTGCTTTTCTGCACAAGCTTCTCATTTTTCAGATATTGTACAATTTAATTATTTCTTCAGTGACTTAATTCACTAAACATACAGTTTCAATACAATTTATGACCATTTGTACTTCTTTAATTGTAATTCCTGATAATTATTTATACTAAAACATTCCTTTCTCAAAAATTAAAAAAAAATCTAAAATGTTACTATGTCCAGCTGAGAACGCTCTCTTTAACTCTGAAAGCTTAAATTTGTACTTCTCACAGATTTCTCAGAATAACATGTCCAATATGAAATTTACAAACTTTTTGCAAAGTGCTCTACCCTTTTCATGTCAGAGAACATCTCAACTATCTACCAGATTCTTAAAAACCTGCTGTAAACTCTTGTTACTCATTTCTATTTGTTTCTCAGGGCTGTCTTATACATCTCCATAAAATTGTTCCAATTCATCTGTGTATCTCTTTCCTGCTGTCATACTTTTAATTTTGAGCTCATCATATCTTGGCAATTTTGTCTGACAACATGCAATAAAATTTCTAACCCACCTTCCACACTGCTGCCAGAACCCTTTTGAACTGCCAATTTGGTTGTATTAACATCCTTGTTCCCTTGGCTTTATTTCTGGCTTCAGACACATGTATAAAGGGTAATTGCATGCAGGCTTCCCCTCCCTACTCCCTACTCTTTGGTGGTAACAATTCATCTACACTTGTGTTCTCTGAAAGTACCTTGTTTCCTGTTCTGATATTTTTTTGATGTTACTTTTGAGGATGGCAGCTGGATAATTCTATGTATACAATTAAATATATAGGAGGATATTAATGCCAGTTGAGATATCCTCAGCCAATGGAGGATAAGAGTCAGTAGATAAATGGCTGCTGATGAAGGTAAATTCACCTTTAAACACACACACACACACCTCAGCTCAGTCAATAGAAGAATATAATTATGTTTTCAAATAATGCCTTATTTTGCATGAAATTCCATGGTTCTGGAGCAATGTTTCTCAAGGTTGGCTTTGATAGGACATTTCTCTATTATTATTCTAGCTACACATACCATTCAGTATATGGTCTGTCTTTGAGGATGACCCCAGCTGTCCCCTTTTCTCTATCTTCTAAAGCCTGAGGTATGGCTTTGAATAGGGGTGATTATTTTATTCTGATATTTGAGAAAATACTTTGCATAAATCATTATTCTCCCATTTTCCTATTCTCACTGGATCTTCTGTTACCTTAAAAATATGTTCTCCTCAATAGGTCTCAGTAAATCTTGTTCAGAAACAAAAGCCTGGAAGACCCACCACAAATCTTTCACAAGGCAAGCAGAGCAGAGCCTACTAGAAAAGAAATAGCTAACATATAAAAAGAAGTCATAAATGGATATTTCAAAAATTATCTTGCCACAAAAATATTCCCTTAGAAAGGCCGTTTCTCTACTGAATTATTTGCTATTTGAAAAATTAAACTTAGAGATGCAGAGTATGGTGTGGAAGGCAGATATTGTTAGGAAGATAAATGAGTATAATCTTTTCTCTTTCCTTCTTAAATCACTGGAAAGCAAAAAAAGCAATGCATCAGTTTAGAAATATAAGCCAAAACTGACCTCTGAAATTTACCTCTTTGCATAGAATTGCCTACAAAGTCAAGTTACTAGTACAAAGTTTAGAATTGTAAGATTAAACTTAGAATATCTTAAAGAGAGTAATAGCATTTGCTTTTCATATTTAACTTATTTCCCTAATTCAAATCCAACAATCCATCTAGCACAGTAAACTAATTGGTTTTCCCCCAATACACCTATATAATTCTTCTATATAGTTTCTCATTAACTTTTGAAATAGAAGTCTGATTTGTAGTTTAAGTGAACTCAATTCTGATTTTATATTATCCTGTGTTTGTTTTACACTATACGCTGTCGAAAAACAGCATATCCTTCTACATATCTAGAAAGACTCTTCTCTCTAATCAGAAATATTTATAAGAGTAGCAATGGAGTTTGTATATACTCCCACAAAATAATTATTTCAATCCTTACTGGAATAAAATCTTTCTCCATTCTAATCTCTGGTCTAAAGACATAATTTGTTAATGCTCTTTTCTTTTCAATTCATTGTGTTGTAAAATTACTTATAATTTATGCAATAAAGCATATTAGAGTTACAGTATTCTCTAGGTTTAATCCAAGTCCATTTAATTTTCCTCAAAAGACTATTATCTCTATTTTAATGATATATTTTACTATCTCATTTAAAGCATTTATAAAAGTTATGTCATGTTGCTTAAGTTTGGGATATGTACAATTTATACTAAGATTTTATCCCCTCTCACTGTCTTATTTACCATTTATTGAATATCCTGTTACTTGCAAGGTATTGACATATATCACATTGGAGAAACAATGATAAATTAGACATTGGATCACTGAAATGGTGCAGATAACATAGCTGTTTAGATGGCTGACATGAGTAAAACAGAAAACTCGAATTTTGAATTTGATCATTTGAAGGTGAGAAAAAGAAACGCCTTTTAGATGTAAGGAACCTGTTGAGCCAAAGCAAAAAGATGGAAAAAAGTAAGTATATAAGGAAAACAGCAAGTTTTGGATGAGCAGAGTCTTTGTAAAGAAAGGTAGTGTAATATGACATTTGAAAGGAATGTTAGCTGTAGACCATGGAATTACCCAAGGCTAGTGTGAGAAATTGGGGCTTTTATATAAAAGAAGTATAGATTCAGTGAAAGTTTTTGAGCAAACTAGTGGCATGATAAGAATCACTAGGATTAACTCATCAGCTAACTCTAACATTAATTAAGATTAGGAGATTCTGTAAGAATAAAATGATTGACTCACCCAACATGTATTTAATACCAACTATGTACAATGTACTGCTAAGAATTACAGACTTAAGTAATAGAATAAAAATTCTTGTTTCAAAACTTGCAAACCATTAAGAAGAAAAATTAGACATTTCAAATTAAACCATAGAGGAATAAATAATATTTAGAAGTATTAAATATTTGCTCTGGCACTCGAGTGATCAATAAAATTAGAGGGTATTTTTGTGATGAGGAGCCTGTATCCTGGAGTCAGCCTGGATGTTAGTACTGGCTCTACCATCTCCTAGCTATGTGAATATAGGCCATTTAATCTCTCTGTGAATAAGTATTTCAGCAATCAAATTAAGAAAACGGTAGTTAATATCTCATAGGTCAATTGTGGGAATTAATGACAAAAACATAAAATATTTAGTACAACATCTGGCATATTTTAAACACTCAAGAAGTGTTTGCAGAAATGAAGTCAGAGTTGACTCTCCTGGTAACCATAAAGGCTGGGAATGCTAGGAAGAGCATTTAGCTCAGATCTTTCGAGGTTAGGGTTTAGCTCAAGGTAGTCTTCATGAAACATTCAGTCTGTGAATAATATAACCCAATCTAAGACTTGCAGACAAATAAAATAATGAGAGTCTAGGAAAGACTATATACATTAGAGCCCCACTTAATTCTGCAAGATATGAGACATTATTGCATTTGTTAAAATATAGAATGCTATGAGTTCACTTATTTTGTAAAGAGATCTGTGATGAGTAATTTTGAAAAATGACAGAGATCCTCTGTGATGAGTAATTTTGAAAAATGATAAGGTCAGTGGGGCTGAAACTGCAATGATTCAGGTAGGAATGATGAAAGGAGAAAGTTGTAGTGGGTAGAAAATGGGGCTTGGAAATACGGACCCTTCTAGAGATAGAATTTGCAGAACATGATAAGGGATTGATTATAAAAGTCAAGACAAAGAAGAAATAAGGGATAATGCCAATATTTACAGTCAGTAGGCTTGGATGAAGTAAAAAATCAACAGGTATAGGGAGTGCATGCAGAAGATTACATGCAAAAACAAAGATGAACATTTCTGGGTTGAAGATCCAAAAAAATAAAGTTGTGCCAGAGCATAAATATAGATTGTCTATTAAAAGATGGGAAGTAAATATATACATTTGTGAGTGAGTGAGTGTTACCCAAGGTCAATAGCACAGGCTAGGATATTTGCTGATATATCTCAGGCAAACCCTGTGAATGAAAGAGGCCAAAACAAAACAAAACAAAACAAAGAAACCCAAACAAAGAAACTAAAATAAGACCAACTTTTTATTGGTTAGAATATTTAGGTTAGACATCTGTTAAACTTTTTCCTTTTCTTAAAAAAGAAATAACTTATTTTAGTCCATTGAAACTGCCTTTCTCTTCATTTTTGAAATTTAGAAGTAATAATTCACTTGTAGAATTACTATAAAAGCATAATTCCTTAAGATTCCAACCTATAGAGTCAAATTATTTAATATTTTGGTTTATATCATATTAGACTTTTTCTTTTGCAAAGAAACCTAATTTTGGAAAAGGCATTTCACTTCCCTGACATTTTCAATAATCTTCAGATCATCTTGATATTGATTTTTTTGCCTCGTATCTCTACTGGAATGAAATTTCTCACCTTTTATTTACGTTGAATTTGCTTAGTCTAGAGATGACATTATGGAACATCTTTCCTGTAAAATATGGTAATGAAGCTTGATTCCCCATTGCCTCTGGAAGCCATCTTGTGGTCTTGAGATGTGGTACTCTCTGGACAAAGACAATGTATACAAAAAGAATGTAAATAAAAACACAGTCCTTGTTTTCAAGGACCTATTTATCCAAACATATGATCATATGATCATTCATTTTATATATATATATGTATGTGTATATACACAATAATTGGCTTTAGGCCTCTTCTAAATACATAGAAAACTGAAGAGTGTTATTCCCACCATAGCAATGAGAGAAAACTAGGTAATATATAAAATTATTTTTTCTTGAATCCAAAGAGTTGAAGTCACAGAAAAAGCCAGCATGAAATTTAAAGAAAGATAGGGCACAAGTACTAACACCCATGTTAGTAGGCAGGAGTAGACAAGGCAAGCCTAAAAACAGATAAAAACAAGTCCGCTACAATTTTAACACATTGCTAACATCTGAGTGGAGTCTCACATGCAAGTATGGAACACTGAGAGCAGCATACATGGCAAGCTCAACTTTACAACCTTCCTGAGTGGGCATGAGAAATACTGAGGGTGGCCAGGAGAGCATTTTTTAGTAGATAAGCCTTGGAGAAGGGAAGCTACCACAGGAAAAAACAAAATAAAACAAAAAACAAAACAAAAAAACCCACAGAGATATACCCAATCCAACATTTCATAAATAACAGAAGTAAGTCACTAAGAGATGGGTTAGGACCATTATAAATCTATCACAGGAGGAAAATTAGAGTAACTGAGAAAATCCCATACCTGAGTACCAGGGATGAAGGCCCTACATAAAAATGAGGCTGAATCGGAAAAAGAGATAAGTTACTTACCTTCCACTACTATGCCAGTGAGGGTAAGTAACAAGAAATAAGTAATCAGTGGGGTAAGATAATGCACATGGAGAGACACTCTCCATGAGATGCAAAAGCACAGTGAAGGGATAAAGCTGCGAGTGGAGCTGGACCATAAAGGGAAGCTCCCTGATAATTCAACCAAAACCCTAAATACAAAGTACTACTGGGGGAATTTAGAGCTGATGATTCACTATAAGTATCTATGGCAAAACAATACCCAAATAATGCATACTTCCTGGCAATAACTCACCTCCCAGATTAAAGTCATAGTAGAGAAAAAGGTATGCCCATTTCATCACAAATACTTCTTTCCTTTGTCTCTGTTGTTCTATGTACTATGTCTGACATACAGTGAAAAATTATGTGGTACACAAGACAGAAGAAAAGCCAAACATACAAGAAACAAAGCATTCAACAGAAGATTCAGAGATGACCCAGATATTGAAACTGTAAGTTAAGGAATTAAAAAATGCTTTCTGAGTAATATTTTTAAGCCCCTAAAAGAAAAGACAAAATGCCTTAAGAGACTGATGGGTATTTCAGCCAAGACAAAAAAAAAAAAAAAAAAAAAAGAAAAAACAATGAGTAACATTCTAGAATTAAAGTAAAAACATAGTAAGAGAGATAAAGTGTGATGTTGAGGGGCTCATGATTAAATTCAACAGAACCAAGGAAATAATTGATAAAATTGTATATAGGTCAATAAGAATTATATAAATTAAAACAGAAAGAGAAGAGGAAAAAAAAAAGAAGACAGAGTAGACCATCAGGAGATGCAGAATAATATGAAATGTGAACATGTGCCTAAGTGGAATTACAGGAAGAAGAGAGAGAAACAAGAAGATAAAAGATATTTGAAAAGACCATGGCTGAGGATTTCTAAAATAATGAAAGGGACATGAAATGCAAAATTCCAGCTAAGAGAACTTCACACAGAATGAAAAGCAAACCAAGCCAAAACAAACAGAAAATAGTTTTTTAAAAAAGAAAACATACATGCAGACACATTATACTCAAACTGATAAGGTAGTGGTGACAGTTAATAGAAAACATTTAGTACAAAGCAGAAATTAAGAGAAAAATTGTGAAGACAATAAAAAAAAGACACACTAGTTGTAAAGGAGCAAAAATTAATTACAGCAGATCGCTTGGCAAAAACTGTGCAAGACAGACAACAGCTATCCAGTGTTCTCTGTTTTTTGTTTTTGTTTTTCAGTAAGTTACACATGCAATTATCATGGCCCAAGTCATGTAGACAGAATTTTGGCCCCCATAAACTTTATCTTCTGGTATTACACTCTGGAATGTTACTTTATGTGGTAAATTGGACCTTGCAGATCTAACTAAGTTTTACTAATCAATTTATTTAAAATAGGGAGATAATTCTAAACTATTCAGGAGAGCAATATAATCATATGATCTGTTACATGTGGAGCTTTATTGTGGCTGAAGGAAGAGAAAATTAGGTAGACTCAAAGCATGAGGACTCAATGAACCTTGCTAGTTTGAAAATGGAGGGGACTGCATGAAAAGAGGGAGAGTGGACTGATTTCTGCCAACATCCTGAATGTGTTTGACAACAAATATTCCATAGTCTTGTGAGCAGTGCAGTTCTGCTGACACCTTGATTTCAACCTTCTGAGATTCTAAGCAGACAAGTCAGTTGAGAGACTCCGTGCGTAAAATTTGCACTTATAAAATAATGAGATAATAAATAGGTGTTGTTTAACACCACAAATTTGTTGTAATTTGCTGTAGTGGCAAAGGAAAACCAATACATCAGATATTTACTCAAGAGAAAGAAAAACATCATCATATAAAAATTTGTACAGAAATGTTTACATCAGCTTTATTTGTAACTACCCAAAATGGAAATTATTTACATCTCCTTTAATATGTACAAACATGCTGAGTTTCTCTTATGTACCAATGACACTTAAAATTTGATATTGCCTTCAGTAGAAATCTCTTCTAAACTAATGCTATTTGGTTCTGGCTTATAAATGGCAATTCTATGAACTAAAAAAAAAAACAGCATTACTCAAACACAAGATTATCTAATATTAACTAATCTAGCCTCTTTATATAACTTTTTCCTGTCTCATAGAAAAAATTAAATTTGTTCAGATTTTATTTGTACTTCCTAAATTCATATAATTTGCTATCTACTAACTTATATTCTGCTAGATAATTACAAATTGATTATTAGATGATTTATTCTATTATCTTCTCAGAGTTTGAGCTTACTGGCTCATGATTGCCATGCAATTCTCTACACATACATTTTTTTAAGTTACAAGAACTAGATTATCATTATAGCTTTTCAGATAGTTTTTCTTAGTCAATGTTTTTTTAAAAAATATATAATTTCTCAAAAATAACATCTTCTAAAATAATTTGACAAAGTCCAACATCCTATTATGATAAAGAAAAAAGCTCATGAAAAATTAGGTGGTTGGATGCAGTGGCTCATGACTATAATCTCAGTACTTAGAAAGACTGAGCAGGAGGATTGCTTCAGGTCAGCAGCTCAAGACTAGCCTGGGAAACATAGCAAGACCCTGTATATACTATATATATCATATATATATATATATACACACATACCAGTCATAGGGACATACACCTGTAGTCCTAGCTACTCAGGAAGCTGAAGTGGGAGGATCACTTGAGGCCAGAGGCCAGGAGTTCGAGGTAACAATGAGCTATAATTGCACCACTGTACTCCAGTCTGGGTGACAGACTGAGACCCTGTCTTAAAAGAAAAGAAAAGAAAAAGAAATAGAAGGAACTTCCATAACATGATGAAAGACGTTGCTATTGGCTGAATACTTGTCCCCCAAAATTTATATATTGAAATTCTAATTCCCAATGTGATTAGGAGGTGGGATTTTGGTAGAGATTAATTAGGTCATGACGACAGATCCCTCATGAAGGACATCAGTGTCTTTATTATAAGAGACCCTGGAGGAGAGTTCCCTTGCCCTTTCAACCACGTGAGAACATAGGGAGAAGATGGCTATCCTTGAATCAGGAAACAGCTCACCAGACACCAAATCTGCTAGCACCTTTATCTTGGACTTCCCAGCCCTCAGAAGTGTGAGAAATAAATTTTTGTTGTTTATAAGCCTTCCAGTCTATGGTAATTTGTTGTAACAGCTTAAACTGTTAGAGAGTTTTCAAGCTTGAACACAGGCATCTTTTTATTTGCAAGCTGTTATATTTGTTCCTATAAAAGCTTAAACACAGACATTTATGAAAAGCCTATAGCTAACATTATTCTCGATAGTGAAAGACTGTATCAGGAACAAGATAAGGATGCCCATCCTGACCATGGCTATTCAACATTGTACTGTAAGTTCTAACCAGAACAACTAGGCAAGAAAAAGAAATAAAATGTATCCAAATTAGGAAGAAGTAAAATTGTTTGTTTGCAGGTATGATCATATATATAGAAAATCTTGAAGAATAGGCACACGTTTGTGAGTGTGCATACCCGCACACAAGATTCTGGAGCAAATAATCAAATTTGGCAAAGTTAGAGATTACAAAAGCAACACAGAAAACATCAGTTTTGTTTCTATATAGCAGGAACAAGTAATCTAAAAATAAAATTACAAAAACAATTTCATTTATAGTAACATTCCAAAGAATAAGAATAACTAGAAATTAAATTAGCTAATATATTGAAAGCTATTGGTGAAAGAAATTAAATAAGACAAACAAAAGGAAAGACGTCTGTGTTCATAGAAGGGTAAAAGTAATGTTGAGATATGAATACTACCCAAAGTGATTTACAGTTTCAATGCAGAATGCTATCCTTATTATGATGCCAATAGTCTTTTTTTCTTTTTGCAGAAATGGAAATGCCAATTCTCAAGCTCATATGTAATTTCAACTGGATTTTCAAATGCAAAATAAGTTGAATCTCTACCTTATGCCATATATAAAAATTAACCCCAAATGGACTGAAAACATAAATATAAGCATGAATATTAACACTTTTGGAAGAAATCATGGGGTAAATCTTCATAACCCTGGATTTGGCAACGAATTCTTAGTTATGATATCAATAACATAAATATGGATAAATTGGATTTCATCAAAATTAAAAGCTTGTATGTACCAAAAATGTTATCAAAGAAGTAAAATGACAATCTAGAATGGAGGAGAAAATATTTGTGAATCATATCTCTGATAAAAGTCTAATATTCATACTATATAAAGAACACAGTTCAACAAAAGACAAACCACCTAATTAAAAAGAGGGTAAAAGACTTGAATAGAAATTTCACCGCAGAAACTATACAAATGACTATCAAACACTTAAAAAGATGCTCATATCAGTAGTCATTAGGGAAATGCATAGCAAAACCACAGTGAGGGATGACTTCATACACATTAGGTTGTAAACACACAGACACACACACATGCACACAGTGTTGGCAAGGATGTGAAAAAATTAAAGCCGTTGTATAATGCTGGTGGGAATGTAAAATTATTCAGTTGCTATGAAAAACAATTCAATGGTTTCTCAAAAAGTTAAAAACAGAAATCCCACATGACCCTTCAATTCCACTCCTAGATATGTACCCAAAAGAATTAAAAACAGATACTCAGAAAGGTACATGGTCACACATTTTATAGCAGCACTATTCAAAATGGCCAACAGGTGAAAACAACCCAAATTTTTCTCAACTAATGAATGGATAAACAAATTGTGGTATATACATACAATGGGATATTATTCAGTCATAAAATTGAATAAATTACTGATATATGGAATAACATGGATGAACCTCCAAGACATTGTGCCAAGTGAAAGAAGCCAGATGCAAAAGGTCACATATTGTATGACCCTATTTATAGGAAATATCCAGAATAGGTAAATTCAAAGAGACAGAATACGGATTGGTGATTTCCAGTAGCTTGAGAGAGGGAGGAATAGGGAGAAGATGCTTAAATGGGTAAGAGTCTTTACTTTGGAGTGATGGAAATATTCTGGAATGAGATAGAGATGGTGATTGTATATCATTGTGAATATATTAAATGACAAAAATATTCACTTTGAAATGGATTGTTTTATGTGTTGTGAATTTCACCTCAGTAAAATCATTTAAAGATAACAGCTGCTAATTGCAGATGCTCAACTTCTCAGGATGCTTATCATCTAGCAAAACCGATTTGCATGCATGGAGATGTTTAAATTATGCAATATTCATGTAGGTTAAGAAATGATTTTTGAAGCAGTGGTTGAGCACTACCTTCTTGTGTTATCCTGTGGATAGTCCACAAGGTTTGTTTCCTTTCTTTCTTCTTTGGGTATGGAGGGTGGCAAGAGCAGAAGGCGGCAGGTAGCGAGTTTAATCAATTGCTTAGTCCAGCTAGGAAGTCTTGGTTCTGGTATCTGCAAAATGGATAATCACATAATCAATAGAGTTGATTATAATTGCATAATGTTTTAGTTTTACACAGTTCTTATGACTGAAGTTTATTTTTTAAAATTGTTTGATTTTTTTCACTTGAATACTTAAAAATATTTCTTTGTACTCTTTTTTAGCAGCTTAGCCTACTACATTTTCCTCCTATTTGTTTCTTTGTAGTGACTGATCATCAATCAACTCTTTCTTACTGGTGACAATATAATCAAGATAAACTGTTCTTAGATTATTTCTCTATTTGTATAAATATTACCAATGTTGTAACATACTGTGAGGACCTTAAATATTATGCCAGGTTGATGACTGGCCTTCAGCTCAACCAGTATTTGATTCATTAAAATATCTAACCAACATGTAATTCTGACACAAAGCCGTGCTGGTATATCGACTGAACAAAATATCCACTTTATCTATCTGATTTAGAAGTGTCAACTTCAATTCCTATCATATCACCATTTCCTATTGATTCTTCCCTATTAACTTTAATACTCTGTTGGATTTCCTTTAATTGTTCAGCTTAGATGTCTGTGTATTTTCACCACTTACAAAGTTGGTGACACTATGCCTCCCTTTACCATGTTTATTTCTTTGAAATAATCGATGCAGAATAAGCCTTATTTTTTCATAAGGGTTATTCCATTAAACTCTGATTATGATTTAGTAATAATTGAGGTCTGAAGTTAATATTTAAGGCTTCTGTTGATATACATATAAAAAATCAAACTTGAAACCTTCTACAGGAAGACATGGATAGAAAAGACACTTTGTACCAAGGCAAAGGGGAGAAATGGAGCTTTGAGAATACTTTTTGGTATTTGAAATGCCCGGGAAATAATTAGTTTCATTTCTGTGATTCCAAATATATGTGTTGAGCAGCTTATAGATTTCAGATGTATTTTGTTATACTTACTGATACTCATAATGGCCTCCTCTCCCACTCACAACTCTGCTTCTTTCCTGACCTATTGCTTTTGGTGTTTCATTCTCTCTCATTTTCTTCTGGAGATTGTTAAGTGTGATCTTATTGCCGCTTCGCATAGAGTGTATTGACAGAAGTGGTAAGATTTTCTTGATTGTGTAGTTATGCACATGTTTAACCTGTATGTATCAACCAAGTACTTATTCTACAGAATGTGTATTGTTTGATATATGAAGAAAATGATAAGCTTATGTTTGCACAGGCTGTCTATTCCCTTTGCATTCATGCTCTATATTAAACCATTATTGACACTTTTAAATGTTGTGGTATTTTCTCTTTCCTTAATATGATTTCAATAGATATTGTGTTCAAGAAAAAGTTTTGTTAATATTCAAAGTGTTCTGAGTCTGTTATATTTCTTTGTCCTGAACAGTTTTGACTTATCTAATACAGTGAAAATTATGGTCCAATTTGTTGCCTACTGGCTTTTTATTTTTATTTTGGTCAAAACTTTCATAATTATATTTTATACCTAAAAAGTTTTAGAAAATGTTGACTTTCCAAAAATTTTGATGAAACACTGTTTACATGAGGAAGAAAGTTATTAATAAAATTTTAACTTACAGAACATGTGAAACTAGAGAGCATTCTAAAACTATGTATATGTGTATATATAAGTATATGGATATGTAGGCACACACATATATGTCTATATGTGTATATATATATAATGGTATAAAGTATGCTATAGTCAATGTGTGTATTATATATATATAACGGTATAAATTATGCTATACTCAACATAGATTTATACATACTCAATAGAGACTTATACAATGAATAAGACTATCCAATGAATTCAGACTTTTGATAATGAGAAATTTCATTATCTCATAAAGTGTTTGATTGAATAAGCTATCCAATCATGCACAGCACTGCCTCATTTTTCTATTATTATTCATTTACTTATCACTTTTCACCCAACTTTCTTTAAGAATTCAACAGAAAATGATGAATTGCTCAATTTATCTTGTGAGGTGCATACAAATTTTGTCTATTTTAAAGAGAAACTAAAGCATTCTGGCATAGTCTCATGCCTATCAAAGACATTTTTGACAGGGTCTTGGATAGAGGGCATCGGGTCTTACTCTCACAAGGGTAACTAGGGCTTTAAAATGTATATGTGAAAAGCCTACTGAACTCCTCACTTAAAAACAACAATGACAGCAAAACAGTTGGCACTTGAGATTCTTTCCCCCTCATGTTTCTGGCCTTTTTGTTTTGCTCAGTTCCGGTTGATTCATTATTCTTTAAATGGACTTATCCATAAGAAAGTGGGAAGCAAAGGAGAGAAATAAAAGTCATTTTCAAAAATAGTTTAATTTTTTTTAATGGGTGAGAAGAAAATGTACCAAGTTGCATGTTGTTTTAATTTAGTAAGATGAGTGTTTATTGTGTTAGGATAAAGTGTCCAGAGTCAGAAATAGCTGTTTGGAATTCTTCACCTAGCTGTGTTACCAGCTGTGTAAATTTTTCCAAGTCACCTAGCTTTTGTAAAATTTGGGATTATGGTTCTTATTAACAACTCTAAATGGAATATTGTATATGAAGTGTTTAATGCTGCAGCCTAATACACACTCAATAAACATTATTACTATTATTATTATTATGTAATGGTGGAATGGGTTAATATGTAGACTAGAAAGGAATATAACAAGCCTAGTAAGTCTGATCATTAATTAATTAAATTAAATTTGGAATTTTCAGATAACCGCAAAACAACCACAGAAAATAATACAGAGAGGAAAATAATTAGAGAGTTTCCTGTGAAAAAGAATAGTTAGATATGTACAATAGAGTCCATTACATTAGGACTCCTTTTAAAGAGCAAAACTTTCTTAATTCACACCACCTAGCACACAACTTTGGCACAGAACAGACAATAAATGTTTGTTAAATTAATTGACCTGATGACCTTACATATATACTAAAATATTTTATAGAAGTTTTGGGGAAAATAAGCCCCTTTTTTCCCTCTAGTTTTGTCCTATACCTAATTTTGGAGGCAGCAAAGAAAAGAAGCAAGGATAGTTTAAGGAAAGGAAATTTAATCAGAAAGTGGAGGGGATGAGAAAAATTCTATATAGGGGACAGCAGAATACAGGCTGAGTTGCTATAGAATTACCCATGGGTTCCCTAACAGCATAAACAAATCAGAGGAAGTTGAACCAAAGTATTTTCTGATTCAAAAGAGATGTGCTAAATTGACAGGAATATCAGAAATGACTAAACACGTAAACTTTTTAAAAAAATACTTGAACAGTCTCAATGTTGGCATGATTAACGCTCTATAAATTCAGATACAACATTATCATATATCTGTTTTAACAAGCTGATCTACATCTGACCATCTGAATTAAGTATAAAATCAATGCAATTAAACATAAATGATTAGCCACAATGTACCAGGATTTATGTTGGCATTGGGGAGGTGGGTGTGTGTGGGTATATACCAGCCTTGGGTTCTCTATTCTCAACGAGTTAAAAATCTAGCAGAAAAAAAAAATAATTGAAACAAACTGGAAAATGCTGTTTAATAAGTGCTGTACTCCCTGGTTTGAATATTTGCAAAGAGAGGATTTTAAAGGTCAATAGTGTTTTTAAATAATAGAAAGCTAATTGGGCTTGATCCAGAGTCTCCTGAAGTAGACACTCATATTTTATTTTTAGAAAGGAAGGTAACTGAAAAAAAAATAAAAGTTATAATATTGTGAGTTAAAGTTTCAGCCTTCGTCTGTGTAATGATTGGCCTTCTTTGCAAAGTTCTCGTGGCAGCACTGTGTTTTTTACTGGATAGTATGTGAAGAAGGCAGAAGAGAAAAGCGCCTCATTCAACATTCAAGGTACAGAGAATCATTTTGTGAAGAGCTGGTGTCCTTCAAATGGAGAATGAAATGGACCTTGTCTTTTGAAGATGGAGATGTAATAATTGTCTTAAAGTCCTTTTGAAATAATAATCTTAATAATATTCAATATCTCTTCAGATTGAATGAAAAGGGTAAAAGAGTTGGGAAGATAACATCACTCACGAGGAATTATCTGAAATTCTTCACCCCAGGGATATGAATTAGCTTCCTCATTTTATCCTGAAGAGAAGCCATCATAAAAGAAATTCCAAAAATAAGTCACAGAACAAATAAACAAAAGCCCATGATTTTGGAGATCTCTTCATGTAATTTTCCTCAATATATGTGATTA
Source organism: Homo sapiens (assembly GCF_000001405.40). Classification (NCBI taxonomy): domain Eukaryota; kingdom Metazoa; phylum Chordata; class Mammalia; order Primates; family Hominidae; genus Homo; species Homo sapiens. Next base: position 86,349,594 of record NC_000005.10, on the reverse strand, counting down.
ATTTAAAATATTATCAAATGTGACAATTTTTAGAAGTTTGTAATGGTTTCCAAATATAGGCCTTATATTGAAACAGTTATTGTGAGATCCTGCTTTGGGATCAGAAAATAAGCTTATTTCATAGTTTTTAAAATAAATGTTATTTTTAGAGCAGTTTAGGTTCACAGCAAAATTGATCAGAAGTTACAGAAATTTCCGGTTTACTCTGTCCTGACACGTGCATAGCCTCCCTTATTATCAACATTTCCACCAGAGAGATACATTTATTACAATTGATGAATCTCCATTGACACATCATTAACATCCAGAGTCCATAGTTTACATTAGGGCTCAGTCTTAGTGTTGTATACTCTATGGGTTTAGACAAATATATGATGACCTGTATCTATTGCTACAGTATCATATAGGGTAGTTTCACTGCTCTAAGAATCCTCTGTGCTCTGCCTGTTCATTCCTTCCTTGTCCATTCCTTAACAACCATGGATCTTTTTACTGTCTTCATAGATTGGCCTTTTGAAGAATGTCCTATAGTTGGAATTATGCAGTGTATACCCTCTTCAGATTGGCTTCTTTTGCATAGTAACATTCATTTAAAGTTCCTCCATATCTCCTCATGGCTTGATAGCGCATTTCTTTTTAACCCTGAATAATATTCCATTGTCTAGATGCACCACAGTTTATCCATTCACCTACTGAAGGACATCCTGGTTGCTTCCAATTTTGGGCAATTATGAGTGAAGCTGCTGTAAACACCTAAACACCCATGTGCAGATGTTTGCGTGCACATAAGTTTTAAACTCCTTTGGGTAAATACCAATAAACAAGATTGCTGGACTGTAAGTTAAGAGTAGGTTTAGTTTTAGCCTGGCGCAGGGGCTCATGCCTGTAATCCCAGCACTTTGGGAGGCTGAGGCGGGCGGATCACTTGCAGTCAGGAGTTCCAGACCAGCCTGGCCAACATGGCGAAACTCCCATCTCTACTTAAAATACAAAAATTAGCCTAGCATAGTGATGTGCACCTGTAATCCCAGCTACTCGGGAGGTTTGAGTAAGGAGCACTGCTTGAACCCGGGAGGCGGAGGTTGAAGCGAGCTGAGTTCATGCCACTGCCCTCTAGCCTGGGCTACAGAGTGAGACCCTGCCAAAAAATAACATAACATCACATAATATAACATAACATAACATAACATAACATAACATAACAACATAACATAACAAACATAACATAACATAACATAACATAACATAACATAACGTAAAATAAAAGTTTAGTTTCATAGAAAACTGGCAAACTATGTTCAAAGGGCTGTATAATTTTGCATTGCAACTAGAAATAAATGAGAGTTCCTATTGCTCCACATCCTCATAAGCATTTGGTGTTGTCAGTGTTCTAGATTTTTGCCATTCTAGTAGGTATGTAGTAATTATTGGTATGTATGTAATGGTATCTTGTTATTTTCACTTCATGGAGTTTTAGTCTTTTGTTTCTTTTATGTTTTCCCCTTAACTACATGAAGTGAAAAGTCATCTTTTCTCTTTCAACTGGGTAATGAACTGTCTTCATAAATCACTGATTATTGGACTATGGAAGTAATTTAAAAAAAAAAAACGAAAAAATGAGAACAGCACAAATACAGTTCTGTTGGGGGTTTATATTTACTACCTGTAGGGCAAAAGTATAGCTGATCCGTGCATGCTTCCTCATGTTAGATCGGTGGACTCTGTTCTCAGTTTGCAGTCTAGTGCACAGAACCAAAGAAGGCTTCTGCACTCTGCTGCTTTGTATGTCACTGTGACCCACTGGGGTTGACTCCTTGAAGGCTTTTGTCGATAAAGTGTTAGACTCCTGTGTGGTGTGGGTTCATTCTTAAGGAGGAACAGTGCATTTTCTTTTTGGATAGCAGGGCTACATTTGGTGCCTTCATTTTCAGAAGTAGGTGGTAATTATGATTTTAACTTTTTTGTCTCCTTAATTTCCAATACCTGAGTGCTTGTTTTTCCTATGAGATGATGTTACTTCCGAAGAAGGGTTTGAGAAACCTTCACTCTAATGAATGATAATAAATATATGAAATCCATACCATAGGTGCTTTGGTTCTTCTACTTTCCTTTTCATAGCATGTTACAATTTTTCCTTTCACATTTTGAATGTTTCCAAATATGTGGACCTTTGAGATTGCCTAGCAACAATTTGGATTGATAACATTTATTTAAAACCTGCGTATTTTGGATCCATTTAGACACAACAGAGAGGTTAAATCTGTCTATGACATTTGTGGGGCCAGAAACATGAAACTAATCTAGATTTATTGGTATAAGTTCTTACCTTTAAAGAAGCCATTGCTGAAAAACAAGAAGAGAAATATGTTATTTTAGAATAATACCATATTGTTTTAATAAAATATAAAACAAGTTTTTGTAATTGAAATGTTAAAAAGTAACACTTTTTTTTTTTTTTTCTTTTGAGACGGTGTCTCCCTCTGTCGCCCAGGCTGGAGTGCAGTGGCGCGATCTTGGTTCACTACAAGCTCTGCCTCCTGGGTTCACGCCATTCTCCCGCCTCAGCCTCCTGAGTAGGTGGGCCTACAGGTGCCTGCCTGGCTAATTTTGTTTTTGTATTTTTAGTAGAGACGGGGTTTCACCATCTTAGCCAGGATGATCTTGATCTCCTGACCTCGTAATCCACCTACCTTGGCCTCCCAAAGTGCTGGGATTACAGGCATGAGCCATCGCGCTCAGCCAAAAAGTAACACTTTATCCATCCCAAATAGCTCTTTACAATACTTGTATGTGAATAGCACTCCTTACAAAACTTGTGGCAAAGCAAGTAAACTTTAAAATGAATATGTTTATATTTAAATGTACTACAACAATCTTTTTGTTTTCCAAGTACTCTGAATATTTATACAAAATTTATTTTTTGAACATTAAGTTCATTCACATTTATATATTTATTATTTCTTAATTTAGAAAACAATTGAAAACTTTTTATGACTACTTTGAGTTAAATAATTATTTTTAAAATGTCAAATGTACCCATGCATAAATATAAAATGTGAACAGAATAGCATGTGAACTGCAATTGAAAGTAATATTTTTAGTTATCTCTGAAGTTTTCAACTTAGTTACAAAAACCTGTAACACAATACATAATTTCTGTTGCTCACAAACAACCATTTTGTTATTGACCACATATCTTTGTAGCTGGTTAGAGCTATTAAAATAAAAATTTTTAGGAATTAACTACCATTATTAGCATATTTGGGTGCTACCAATTACATAGTGTATATAGAAATGGCACTGAGCTCTAGACTCAGCTCTGTGTCTCACTGGTATCATGGTCTAGCATGAATCATTTGGTAATTTCTCTATGTAACATGGCTTATCAGGGAACATACAAACTTTTCAGTCACACAGATGTGTATTCAACGTGGCTCTGCCATTTAATACCTGGGCAAACTTGAACATGATAGAGCTCTCTCAGCCTCACATTCCTTAATTGTAATTGGAGTTGATAATAATTACTTTAGAAAGTCATTGCATAAAATTCCTATTTTAGCATTTGACTCAGAAAATAAATGGAATAAAAACCTTTTGAAATTGTTGCTCACAATTTAGCTCATTTGAGAATTTGGTAATTTTTACTTGATGATTTTAAAGCTTCTTCCAGCTCTCAGTTTCATAATTATACCACTTGCCAGTTAATAATACCTGGCAAATGTTGCCAAGTTTCTTAGGTAAAACAAAATGTCTGAATTAGTATTAATCATTCATGAAAAAGAAAAAAAAGTTAAATTCAATGTTTATGCTCTACTGCAGTATTAGTGTTTTCAGCAATATATCAATCTTTGCATGTATATATACATATATACATATATGTGTGTATATATATATATACACACACACAGAGATGATAGATACACATTTATCTATATACACATACACAAACATGTAGATACACACGCTTATATACAAATATACATATACATATGCTTTTATACATATAGCTGAAGCATGGGATATGATTATAATGTCATAGTTAATCTTATATAAGAAATATATCAGGAATTATTTGTGAGCAAAATATTCTATAACCGATTGTCTAAAATAGTATGTGAAAATTTCTGCCATATATTTAAAACCAAAGTTGTAAAATGGACCTGGCAAGGACCCTGCAGTGTGAAGAATGCTCCATCAAGAAGGACACAGCCTGTACTTGCTAAAACTCCAGGGAGCCTCAAAGACGAGTGCAAAAGTGGCAACTATGGCTGGCTGTCGAGCTTACATCACAGTAAACAAGTGCTTTATTATTAATTGTGTTTGAAGCATTTTCACATCTATCCTTTATTTATTTTTGGTTTATTATTTAATTATAACTTTAGAGCCTTGGGAAAGAATTAAATGTCTTTGTTACTTCCAATTAACAAATGAAAAAATTCAGTTTAAGGAAATCAGTAACATGTTTAGGATCTTGGTGCAAAGTAGCGGCAGATTCCTGTTTGCAGTCTTTTGCAACTTTAATAATTTAACTATAATTCATTGAGTATAGGGACTCTAATCACATATGTGTCTCTTCCTTTAAATGCTTTGTGTCAACTGATCATACAGCAACATGATATTGATGACAAAACAGAGATGCAAGGAGTGGTAAAGGAGAAGCAAAGATAGATAACATTGCTTCAGCCTTCAGGAATCCTACAAAACGTACTGAATTACTTAATCTTCTACCTGCCTCAGCCTCCCAAAGTGCCAGGATTACAGGCATGAGCCACCGTGCCCTGCCAAGCTTCTGTTTTTTATCAGCCACCAAACCTATGGTACTTTGTTATAATAACCCAAACTGACTAAGACAATATGTTAAAGGATTCATACAATATAAATATATATATTTTATATAAATTATATTTAAATTATATATATATTATATATATAATTAGATTGGCTTTTTTCAGGCAGTAATATGATCTATCATTTATCCATGTCTTAACATGACTTGATGGTTTTTTTATTATTTTTTATTTTATTTTTTATTATTATTTTATTCTTTTTTATTATTTAATAGTATCAAACTGTATAAATGTACTAGTTTGTTTATCCATCCAGTGAAAGGCTATCTTAATTCCTTCCAATTTATTATGATTATGAATGAATGTGTATCCTGGTTTTTGTAGGGACACAGACATTTAAATCATTTAGGTAAAGATGTAGAAACATAATTACTGAATCTTATGATAAACTATGTTTAGCTTTGTAAGAAATTTCCAACTATCTTCCAGATTGTCTGTACTATTTTGCATTCCTACCACAATAAATGAAGAATTCATGGTGTTCTGCAACCTCATCAGCAATTGTTATTGTTAGGATTTTGAAAATTATCTATATGTGTATTTTTTATATCCAATCATATGTCCCTTAACAGAAGGCTTTAACACTTGTACATTTTCTGATTATGTTTTTTTCTTTTTGCCATCTATTTGTGTGCTTTTAAGTATCTGCATTTTGTTTCTTTTTCTGTAACTTTGAAATATTTTGCATTGATTAAAGATTTTCTTCTCCCCTCTGCTATATACAATCTATTCTTTAAGTGTGTTAAATGAAATAGAAAAGAGATCAGGCCAAGGGGTTCCCTGAGCAGACAAAACCAGTTAGGCCACAAAAGCAAAATTTAATCATGCTTGGTTTTTTTCATATAAAGGAAACTTAGATTCTTTCTTGTAAATGCTTCTGAAAATCATAAACAAAACTTGAATCATCTTCCACAAGTAATATAATAACTTCTAACCAATCCACTGCAATCGGGAAAACTTCACTGTAGTAACCAGTCACTGAAAGTGTTAATCAACTTTCTCACATTCACTTTACAAGCCATTCTGTAATGGTGAGCCTGTAACCTTCTTACGACTTTAGGTTTTTTGTTTTCTTTGTAACTGACAAATAATAAGCATATATATTTGTGGGATACAATGTGAAGTTTTGATATATGTTTATAATATACAGTGATTAAGTTAGGCTAATTAACAAATCCATTGCCTCATATTCTTACTATTTTTGATGATGAAAATATGTGAAATCTATTCTTTTAGCAGTTTTGAAATATACAATGCATTATTATTTATTATAGTCATTTTTGGTTTGAAGTTTCCTGGATAGCAATCTGTGGTTTCTTTAGTTGTACAACAATATGGTTTCAAAAATTTTTCTAATTTTATCAGATTTTATTTTTGACAGGCGATTATCTGAAATTTTAAGACGCATATCTGATAAAGTCTAATATTATTCAACATCTCTTTAGCCAGTTCTCTGTTTTCCTGCTCTTGTTTCCTAGCTGTTAACTCTATCTTGTTTTGTTCTTAAATTCCATACCAAAAATTGCTTTTACTATTTTGTAATAAATATTTAGTATTTCAACATTTGTTTAGCTTTATGTATACATTCCTATTTTCTTTACTTTTTTTTTTTTTACATTTTATACTTTCTGTGATTACTTTTCTTCATTTTAGCAAGTATTTAGAAGTTTCTTTAGTAATGTGTGTTTATTTTAATTTTTCTTTAGATTTCAGAATATCTGAAAAGTACTTAATTCAGCCTTATGCAAGTTTTCATTTTTGTTTATTTGTTTGAAGATAGGGTCTTGCTCTGTCACTAGGCTGGAGTGCAGTGGCACCATCATTGCTCACTGCAACCTCACACTTCTGGGCTCAAGCAGTCCTCCCACCTTAGGCTTCTGAGTAGCTAGAACTACAGGCACAAGCTACTATTCCTGGCTAATTTTTTTGTTTTGTTTTGTTTTGTTTTGTATAGAGGGGTTCTTGCTGTATGGCTCACGCTGCTCTTGAACTGCTGGTCTCAAGCGATCGTCCTGCCTAGGCCTTCCAAAGTGCTGAGATTACAGGTGTGACCTATCACACTGGGCCTCAGCTTCACTCTTGAAATACATTTTGCTGGTTATTTGACTTCTAGTTGGCAGCCATTTAGCTTCAGCACATTAAAGATATTACATTCTATACTGGCTGTCATTTTTTAAAATTTTGGTAAGTCACAGTCTAATTTAAATTTAAATTTAAATTTATATATAGATAATCTTTCTTTCCTATGTCTGCTTTTATGTTCTCCTTACCTTCAGTTACTTGCAATTAGCTTAAAATGTGTACATGTAGACATCTTTTAATTATTCCTACTTGTAAATAGCCTTTCTAAATCTAAAGATTGGTGTTTTTCATGCTTTCTGGAAAATTATCAATCATTATTTTTTCTATATGACATATTTCTTCCTTTTTTTGTTACTTCCTTTTGGAACCTTACTTATCATATAGTTTATCTTTTCAATTTATTTTATATTTTTCCTAACCTTTGTTTCATATATTTTATATCCCTGTCTTTATTTTATGATTTAAAAACGTGTTCTAACCTACCTTTTAATTAAGGAATTTTCTCTTTACCTATGTCCATTCTGCTCTATAAATGTTCTTTAGAACTTTCGGTATAAATAATTATATTTTTAATTATTTTAGTTCTGGAATTTGACCCTTTTTCAAATAGAATTTGTCAGTTTCATCATATTTGGTTCCTTACTCATTTTTGGTCCCCTTTTAAAAATGTGTTTAAACATATTCAGGAGCATTATATTATTAATCAACAATTTGAATAGATAAAATCTTTATGTTTCTATTTCTGATTATTGTTTGATAGCTTTGTTATTAATTATTTAAATGAGTGGGAGAAGAAGGTATTAAATTCACGAATATACATCATCATTTTGCTACTATTTTCATTATTTTTATTTAATATTGTTTGAAAGATTCAGATAATGCTAAACTAACTTTCTATATCATATACCACTGTATTACTTATGATTCATTTGTAAGTGATGAAAACGTTACTCTAATTAATTAAACAAATAAAAATTACAAATATAAAACCTAACAAAATATCAGCATTCAATATCAGGAGAAGTAGCCTCAGAAGTGACAGGATTTGGGGACATTTAGAAAGTAGTTACTGAGGCCAAATGGTTGAGGGTACTGTGACCTGTAATTGGCTAATTTTTGATCATATGCTCTTGTCCAATAAGTGGAACATATTATCAAATAAACAAGGCTAGGGTAGCTTGGACTAAGCTATTGGATAATGTTTGTCAGCAGAACAGGCACCCCTATTTGTATATAATTCAACATTCACATTCAGGAAATGTAGAGAACCCTAGTAAGATACTTCACAAGAAGATGATCCCCAAGATGCATAATCATCAGATTCTCCTAGGTAGAAAAGAAAGAATGTTAAAGGCAGCTAGAGAGAAAGGTCAGGTCACCTACAAAGGGAAGCCCATCAGACTAACAGCAGACCACCCAGCATATCAATAAATGTGATTCCTCACATAAACAGAAAATGTATTCCTTTGTGTATATACGCAGTAATGAGATTGCTGGGTCAGATGGTATTTCTGTTTTTAGATGTTTGAGCAATCACCACACTGTCTTCCATGATGGCTGAACTAATTTGCACTCTTACGAACAATGTATCAGTGTTCCTTTCTCTCTGCAAACTTGCCAGCATTTTTTATGTTTTGACTTTTTAATAATAGCCATTCTGACTGGTGTGAGATGGTATCTCATTATGATTTTGATTTGCATTTCCCTAATCATCAGCGATGTTGAACTTCTTTTATATGATTGTTGACCACATGTATGTCTTCTTTTGAAAGGTGTCTGTTCATATCTTTTGCCACGTTTGGTTTTTTTTTCATGTAAATTTGTTTATATTCCTTATGGATGCTGGATATTAGATCATTATCAGAATCATAGTTCACACAATTTTTCTCTTATTCTGTAGATTCTGTTCATTCTGTTGATAGATTATTTTGCTGTGCAGAAGCTCTTTAGCTTAGTTACATCCCATTTGTCAATTTTTGCTTGTGTTGCAATTGCTTTTGGTGTCTTCGTCATGAAATCTTTGCCCATTCCTATGTCCTGAGTGATATTGCCTGGGTTGTCTTCCAGAGTTTTTATAGTTTTGGGTTTTATGTTAAAGTCTTTAATCTATCTTGAGTCAATATCTGTATATGGTAGGAGAAAGGGCTCCAGTTTCAATCTTCTGCATATGGATAACCAGGTGTGTGGCCTGATTTCTGGGTTCTCTATTCTGTTCCATTGGTCTATGTGTCTCTTTTTGTACCCATAACATGCTGCTTTGGTTACTGTAGCCCTGTAGTATAGTATAAATTTGGGTAGTGTGATGCCTTTTTTTGTCCTGTTGCTTAGCATTGCCTTGGCTATTCGGGCTCTTTTTTGGATCCATGTGAATTTTAACATAGTTTTTTCTAGTTCTGTGAAGAATGTCAATGTCAGTTTAACAGGATTAGCATTGAATTTATAAATTGCTTTGGGCAGTATGACCATTTAAACCATATGTATTCTTCCTATGAATGAGTATGGAATGGTTTTCCATTTGTTTGTCTCATTTCTGATTTCTTTGAGCAATGTTTTGTAGTTCTCTTTGTAGAGATCTTTCACCTCCTTGCTTAGATGTATTCCTAGGTTTTTTATTCTTTTTGTGGCAATTATGAACGAGATTGTGTTCTTGATTTGGTTCTTGGCTTGATTGTTGTTGGTGTATGGGAATGTTAGTGATTTTTGCACATTGATTTTGTATCCTGAGACTTTGCTGACATTGTTTATCAGCTGAAAGAACTTTTGGGCTCAGACTAAGGGGTTTTCTATATATAGTATGATGCTGTCTGCAAACGGGTAGTTTGACCTCCTCTCTTTTTTGGAAGCCCTTTATTTCTTTCTCTTGCCTGATTGCCATGGCCAGAACTTCCAATACTATGTTGAATAGGAGTGGTGAGAGAGGGCATCCTTGTATTGTGCTGGTTTTCAAGGGGAATGCTTTCAACTTTTGCCCATTTAGTATGATGTTGGCTGTGGGTCTCTCATAGATGGCTCTTATTATGAGGTGTGTTCCTTCAATACCTAGTTTACTGAGAGTTTTTAATATGGAGTATTGAATTTTATAGAAAGCCTTTTCTGCATCTATTGAGATAATCATGTAGTTTTTTCTTCAGTTCTTTTTATGTGATGAATCACAGTTATTGACTTGCTGAGAAGTTTGCTGTTATCCTGATGGGCTTACCTTTGTAGGTGACCTGATCTTTCTTTCTAGCTGCCTTTAAAATTGTTTCATTTCGATCTAGGTGAATCTGATGATTATGTGTCTTAGGGATGATCTTCTTGTGAAAATGTTGGCCTCTCTAACTAGGCTCGGGAAGTTCTTATAGATGACATCCTAAAGTATGTTTTCCAAGTTGCTTTCTTTCTTCCCATCTCTTTAAGGGACACCAATGATGTTATAGATTTGGGATAATCTCATATTTATCAGAGGTTTTGTTTGTTCCTTTTCATTCTTTTTTCCTCTCTTCTTGTCTGTCTTATTTCAGAAAGTCAGTCTTCAAGCTCCGAGATTCTTTCTTCCACTGGGTCTATTCTGCTATTAATACTTGTGATTATGAAATTCTTATAGTGTGTTTTTCAGCCCTATCGGGCTTACATTCTTTTCTCTCCTGGCTATTTTGTCGGTGAGCTCCTGCATTGTTTTACCATTACTTTTAGCTTCCTTGTATTGGGATTCAAGGTACTCCTGTAGCTCAATGATCTTTGTTCCTATCCATATTCTGAATTCTATTTTTGTTGTTTCAGCCCATCTCAGCCTGGTTCAGAACTCTTCCTGGAGTAGTTGGAGGAAAGAAAGCACTCTAGCTTTGTGAGTTTTCGGGTTTCTTGCACTGATTCTTTCTCATCATTTGGGGTTATCTACCTTCAATCTTTGAGGCTGCTGACCTTTGGATTTTTTTTTTATCCTATTTGATGACCTTGAGGCTTTGATTGTGGTATAGGGTGGATTCAGCTAACTTAGCTTTGTTTCTGGAAGATTTTAGGAGGCCAATGCTCAGTTCCCAAATCCCGGACTGCATGCTTTAGCTCTCGGGGACTTGTATTGGGCCCTGAGTTTGTTGTCTGGCTCACTGAGGTTAGAAATCCTCTTTGCTGGGAGAGCTGAGGTGCTCCCAGACTGCTAGTCACTCCATTCTGATGGGTGGTGTCAGCCAAAGCATTTTGAAGTGTGGGGACAATGGGATTTGTCTTCCTTTGTACATGCCAACAGCAGCAGTAGAAGAAACTACAGCAGAGTTCTAGTGGGTGCTGGGGTGCCTGGCTCCCTGAGGGTGTTCACCATAGTGGTGGAGGCTACCCAGTTGGGGTGCAGGGGGCCCCTGCTGGCGACTGTGTGTTGTAGCACTGAAAGTGGTGTTGGCTCGGAGGTGGGCTGGTGGGCATAGGTCTGAGTGCCTTCTCTGTGCCCTGCAAGAGGGAGTGATCGTTCTGCGTGGGGAAGGATCTGCTGTTCTCTGAGCACTGTTAGCCCAAGGTCAGGTGGTGTTAGGTGTGGGGCTGGCTGGCTCTGTGACAGCCAAGCCTCTGTCTGCCATAGAGTTTGGCGGTGGGAAGGGAGGCGGACTGCACTCCCGCACACTGGTGGGGCAAGGAAATCAAAACCCACTCTTGCATACATGTGCCAGCAAAGTGATGTGGGGAGTTGCTGTGGGCCCAGGGGAAGCTGCAGTGTAGGGAGGGAATGTGTGGGCTGGTGCATGGCTACAGGGGCTACCTTGCTGAAACTCTCTGCCAGTCAGGCACGGTCTGTCAGTGCAGTTGGTGTAGTGCAGGCCTCCAGGGAACCTGAGATTGCCCAGCAAGCAGGCATGGGTATGCTGGGGCCTTGGGAGAGGCCAGCAGACCAAGGGGAGCTCAAGTCGGACCGGCCTCATCTGATGGGGAAGACCACCCTGCAAAATTGAGATCCAACAGTTGGCATAGGGCAAAGTTGAGATCCAACAGTTGTCATAGGGCTAAAGTCTCTTATGGGAGCAAGTTGAGCCTAGATGGATGGCCGACCCTATCTTTGTTCCACTACGGATGCTCCCACACCAAACCCTGTGGGCTCTACATCACCTGGCTTGCTGCTCCTACCATTTCTTTCAGCAGCCCCCTGGCAACTAGAGTGTCCACAGTGATTGAGAGGTCTCCTTTTGCTGGGGTTCCAGAGGCCCATGGCGAGAGCAGATTGCTCATTGTCAGTTAAACACACTCATTGCCCCTGCCGTTGTGGGCCAGGAATGAGTCCTGGCGTGTGGTAGCCCCATGCAGGGTTCCTAGCTTTCTCCCTTCAGCCCAGTTTCTGTGTCTTCCCTCCATCCACTCTCGGTGCCTTCCCTCTGAAGATCTGTTAGGAGCATGCCAGTGGTCTCGGTCCTTCGTTGGGAGTTGTTCCACCTGGCTGCGTCTAGTCTGTCATGTTTTGATTGAAACCACTAGTTCTTTATGATATGGCTGATATGGGAGTTACAAAAATTTTTCGATCTCCATCAAAGTTGAAACTTAGAAGTGTAAAGTCATCAAGAATTATATTTAAGCAACAATAGCCTTTTTACTTGCCATTTGTCATTGCATAAATTATGAAAAATCAGTGTAGTGTAAATGCTACATAATGGCTCATATTTAGTTATGTTAAAACTTGCCATTACTATATGGGTATAATTGTTCCCTCTACTGCTACAATGCAAGAAACTTTAGATATGTCCTTGGCATTTGGCAGAGAGAACATAATTTTCTATTGAGAGCTATCTAAGTCTCCTTTATTTTAAAGTCCTTCGTTTCTCACATTATTAAAATTTCTTCAGCAGAAATAGCTGCAGTTTTTAAAACTATATCTTGTTTTATTACCGTGTTTCCCTTATTATAGTTATTTGCCTTATAAGTAAATTGTGTAATAAGAATTTCATATGTCTTGGTCCTCTAGCATATGCTTCTATACAAACTTGTATTCATAATACTATGTCAGTTGGAATTAATTAAATTTGTAAGATGTCCACTTTTCCTGTTAGATTTAAGGTTTCATAAGAACCAAGGACTGTGGTTATTTTTTCTACTCCTTCCTTCCCAGAAACTGGGGCAATGGTTGGCACATCATCCATGCTTTCTCTCTCTCTATTTTGAAAACAAACTAATTGATGAATAAAAAAGTGAGGCATGAAACACAAAAAAATACAGATATCTGAATAAAATATAAAATGTAACAATAATTGTATTATTCCAAATAGCCAATAAAAACATATTACATATTTAAGAATTTAGTAAATAAAAACAATAAATATATAAGCATTAATAGCATTCTATAAACCAATAATAACTAACTTGAAGAGGTAATGAAAATGATCTGCACCAAAAGAAAGCTTTTATATACATTTTGCTTGATCTCTGGGGTCTTTAAATATTAAAACTTTTTAAAAACTTAGTAAATTTAACATAATAATGATTCTATACCTTTAAGGGTGACCCATCACTATTCTGGTTCACCAAACTTTTTTACTCTGTGTTAAAATTGTAAAATGCAGCGGGATAAAGTTTTACATATAAAATAGAAAATGTCTTCTTGTCACTATAAATAAGTTATTTTTCTTGAAAAAAGTATTTGTTAGGGAGGATAAATAGTCTGTCATATGATAGAGAGAAAAATCGATTTACTGTTAACCAAAGTCATTTCCAATAAGAAACTATATCAAAATAATTAGATGCAAGCATCAGTTAAATAAGGTGTAGTTATCCATTCATTTTAGAATTAAACTATCCTTTATGAATAATTTAAACCTATATTCCTGGAATAGTGTGCAAAATCATTATATTGTTAAAGTATTAAATAGCAAGGCTAAATTTGTACCATTACTTAACTTCAAATAGATTGACAATTAGGTAGTTTGAAATGATAAAAATTTCTTTGAAAACATTAAATAAACTAGCTTTTTTTCTATTGGGTTATTTTAATGTCAAAATATTTTAAGTCATATATAAAAATAACTAATATTGTGAATTTAATTGATTATCATTAATAAGATAGAGAATTGAAGGTAGAATGATTTTTAAATTTATAATATAGTAAAATTGAACAAGATAGGTTATCCAAAGGTTGTTACATTAAAAACTAAGAGAGTTCAATATTTCTTTTATCATATTTATTTGGAATAAATGACAATTTTCTTATTCAAAACATTTAATTTTGAAATAATTCAATAGTTAATATATAAACTAGGCAATGTATATTTCATGGTAGTATTGTTTTTCTATAAATATGTTCTAGTGACAATCTCAAACAATAAATTTAGCTTTTGCTTCCATTTTTGTTTCTGGATGGTGTATATAAGAAGAGGAATATACAAAACACTTACTGACCAAGTCTTGAAATAGTTCTCATTGATTTAAGAATAAATTTGTTTAAGTTAACCGGTAGTATCTAAAGATAGATTTCTTGTGTAAATTCTAAAACAAGAACAATAATGAGTTGAAGATTCTGACAAACTTGAAAGTACAATGTTATTTTTGACCAGGGTTATTGTAATAGTATTGTAGAAGAGCATTACTGTTTCTACACATTTATGAGGAAGTTGTATATTTTATTTTTCTTATGCATGAGATTTCAAGAATGTACCATTAGTATCGACACAAAGAAAATATTAAAGGCAACTTTAGAATAACAAATTATTCAATACTGTTTCTATATAACTGTAAAATTATTGCAATTTTTTATATATAACTGAATATTGGTAAGATAATGGTGTTACACTACAATCTCAAATAATGTGTGGTATATATTTACCTTATCTATGAAAAGTACAAGTAGGCTGAGATAGTGTCATGGGCCTGAAAACAAAAAATGTCCACTATTCATGAGAAAGCCAGCTGTTTATACCAAGTTTCTAGGTTTTATGGGGATAATCAAATTGTGGGTCAAATGTAGGAATTTCTATAAGAGAGAGAATCCATAGAGCATGAAGCCTCCTACCTATCATCTACCACCAACACCCCAATCTGCAAAAGCCCTTGGAGATTTTTTATGTCATTGAGGACAAAAGGACTTTTGAGCATATTATCTACAATTCTTATACACACACACACACACACACAAGTGCATATATAGTGTACAGTAAATAACTTTAATTCCACAGTTTGATGTAAAATGTCATAAAATTATTCATTTTTTATTCAGAAAAAAATAATTGAGCCCTTATTGGTACCAGGTTCCATGCTAAGTGCTAAGCTCATGGAGGTCAAATGTTAATAAGTATATACATATTGAGACTGCTATAATAAAGCTTATAGTTTCACAAGGATTTAACATATAATTCAATAATTACTTAAGCAACAAATTAATTATGTTATATTCTTAAAGGAGTAACAGGTTCTATTTTTAGTAATAATATAAATAATAAGTTATATAATGGTTATAATAAATGCAATAAGAGAGAAGTATAGTGAGTGAAGAAAATTTAAAAATTTGAGAGGTTAAAATTTTTTCATAAATTAAAAAGCTTGGTCTCAAAAATATAATTTCAGAAATAAAATTTTAAAAATATGTTCACATATTTCATTGGCATGCATTTGTAATGCTCTTCTAAAGAAATATGTAGTAAACAGAATTTAAAATAAATGTATCTTTGATAATATGAACATATGTATTAGTGAAATTAAATTAGGCATGCCATAGGTTTAAAGATGATTATAAATGTTCACACTACAGCTTGCCTTCGCATGAAAAGAAACTAAGAAATACATTATAGAGGTTGTGAGATAATAGCTTTTAAAAAAGCATATGAAAACTCTTGATAAGTGTTGGAGAAAATAAAATCTGATTCTACATCTTATTTTACTTTACAGCTTGGATAATATTTGTTTAAACCAAATTTTGATATTTTTTCATACCCATGATGTGAACAGGGCTATTGTACCCTAGACTTAAATAATCACTGAATAGAAAACTAATTTTTTATTTGTTCACTGAAAAAGACTCTTGTCCCCCTAGGATGGTTAATAGAACTGAGGATGAAAGTTTAAAAATTAACCATTGCAGTTTTTTTTTTTTTAGTTGAAACTTCAGTTTCCAGTAACAACAATCTGATCTTCTATAGTTTAAATATACTGAGGACTGTGAAATCATGATCTGCTCACTCAAAAGGAAATGTATTTGATTCTCAGGTCCATTGAGTAGCCAAGGTTCAAAAGTACAAGAATAATGCATTTGGATATATCAAAATGTTGGTAAAAGTACATATTTACATTGCTCTTAAGCAGTACACTCAGGTGAAAACATACTTAAGGTGGGCCAAGAGTTTTGCAATTTTTCATACTTTCTAAAGTCTCAGATGCTATTATGGTTTGAATGTTCTCTCCAAACCTCATGTGCAAATTTAATTGCCATTGTAGTAGTATTACAAGACGAGACTTTAAATAGGGGATTAGGTCATAAGGGCTCTGCCTTCATGAATGAATTAATGCTGTTATTACAGGAGTGGGCTATTATCACAGAAGTGAGCTCCTGATAAAAGGATAAGTTTGGTTTCCATCCTCTCTTGGTCTCATGCATGTGCTGCTTCCCTGTGTGATGCCCTTATACCTTCTCCTGTTCCAACATAAGATGAAACTTGCCAGATGCCAGTGCTATGCTCTTGAACTTCTCAACCTCCAGAACTATGAGCCAAATAAATTTCTATTGTTTATAAATTACCCAGTCTGTGGTATTCTGTTATGGCAGTAGAAAAGAGACTAAGATGCCTAAGGAATACAGAGAAACATCATAAACTCGATCAAAGGATAACTAGAAATTAAGCCCTTAATTTTATTATGTAAAAAATGTAAATGAGTTACACAATATTCACTTTTTATTTTAATAAATGACCTATTTTGATTCACGTCTGTGACTAAATAATGTAATGTCAAAATTTTTCATTACCAATGTTATATCCTATTTGAGTATTTTTGGACTTCTGAGGGATAACATTTATTAATTTAATAATAATGATAATTATATATGTTATAAGTGTGCTTATTGCTGATATACTTTAATAATATATTGGATAGTGAGATGGATAAACATTTATGCTAGGATTTGGGTTGTTCATTGTCTTAGTCTGTTTACCCTTGCAATAACAGAATACCTGAAACTGGGTAATTTATAAAGAAAAGAAATATTTCTTACAGTTTTGTAAACTGAGAAGTCCAAGTTTGAGGGGCCTGGGAGGGCCTTTTGGGTATGTCATAACATGGAAGAGAGCATCACATGACAAGAAGGTAAGTGCCTGTCGCTCAGGTCTTTCTTCTTCTTATAAAGCCACCAGTCCCATCATGAAGGCACCTCCTTGATGACCTTATTTGATCCTAATTAGCTCCCAAAGGCCCCACCTCTAAATACCATCATTACATAAATTTGGGAGTTAAGTTTTCAACACATGGAACTTGAGAGACACATTTAGATTATAGCATTACAGCCCTGGTTCCCAAAATCCAAGTCCTTCTCACATGAAAAAGGCATTCACTTCATCCACAAAGCCACAACGTTTTAACTCCTTCCAGAACCAACTCAAAAGTCCAAAGTCTTATTTAAGATTTAAGGCTCAATTCATCTTGAGTTCCATTCCCTCCAATTATGGGCCTGTAAAATTAAACAAGGTCTTTATAGGCATATCTCAGAGATAATGCAGGTTCAGTTTCAGATCACCACAATAAAGCAAATATTGCAACAGTGGAAGCCACACATATTTTTCATTTCTTGGTGCATATAAAGCTATGTTTACACTATAGTTAAGTGTGTAATAGCATTATATCTAAAAAAGGTAAATAGCTTAATTTAAAAAATACTTGATTGCTAAAAAATGCTAACACAGAGACATGAAGTGAGCATATGCTGTTGGAGAAATTGTGGAGATAGACTTGCTCGAAGCAAAGTTGCTACAAACCTTCAGTGTATAAACAACACAATAACTGCAAAGCATGATAAAGCAAAGCACAATAAAATAAGGTATGCCTATACTTCCAAAATACCACGGTTGGACAAACATAGGATAAATGTTTCCATTCAGAAAAGGGAAAGAGTCAAGAAATAAGAGGTACCTGGTCCCAAGTAAGTCCAAAATCCAACAGGGAAAACAATATTAAGTCTAAAACCTTCAAAATATATTTTTTTCACTCCTGCCACATCCTAGACACACTGGGATGTTTGGGCCACCAAGGCTTCAGGCAGCCCCACCCTTATGGCTTTGCTGGGTTCAGCAATTCTCTCATGTTGAAGTGTTGTGCCTTCAGTTCCCCCAGACTGGTATTGCATGCTGGTAGCTCTACAGTTATAGGGTCTTGTGGATGGCCTTATCCTGGGAACTTCACTAGGCATTGCCCTTGTGGGAGCTCCTCGTGGCAGCTCTCACTTCATCCCCACATTTCCACTTGGCATAGACCTAGTAAAGGTTCTCTGTGGTGGCTCTGCCTCTGTAACAAGGCCAGTCTCTGCTGTTTGCAACATAGTTTGAAATCCAGGTGGAGGAAGCTGTGACTCCACAAGTCTTGCATTGCATGTGCCTGCAGACTTATCATGTGGCTGCTGCCAAGATTTGTCAATTGCATCTTCTGAAGCTGTGGCCTAAGCCACACATGAGCCCACATGAACCATGGCTGTGGAAGCCAAAGAGCATTGTGCTGGGATGCAAGGAGAAAAGCCTAGAGGCAGTCCTGAGCTTCAATTCCCTGAAGGGCACCTTGGGCCCATCCTCCATCCCCTGACGTCATTCTGTACTTCTGGCCCTCTGGGCCTATGATGGGAGAGGCAGTTTCAAAAATCTCTAAAATGCCTTTGAGGTCCTTTTTTAATTGTCTTGCTGACCCCTTCTAACAATACTAATCTCTTTAGCGAAAGGTTGCTGGGCCACACACTTGGTTTTCTCTCCCAAGCATGCTTTTCACTCTTTACATGGCCAGACTAAGAGTTTTTCAATCTTTCTGCTTTGCTTCCTTTTTGATTATAAATTCTGTCTACAAGGTAAAAGTTATTCTTTTGCCTCTAACAGCTTAATGTAAGCAGCTAAAAGAAGCCATGTGGCAGCCTGATTGCTTTGCTGCTTAGATATTTCTTCTGTCATATATCCAAATTTATTGTTCTTAAGTTTTGGATTCCATAAAGCTCTCAGGCATGACACAATCAAGTCAAGTTTTTTGTCTTTATAATAAGGATGGTCTTCAGTCCAGGTTTCAATACTTTGTTCCTCAGTTCCATCTGAGATCATACCAGAATGGTCTTCACTGTCCATATTTCTACCAGTATTATGGTCACAGTCACTTAAATAATCTTTAATAAGTTCCAGACTTTCCTTAGTCTTCTCTTCTTCCAAGCCCTCATGAGAATCACTGTTAACACTCCATTCAGGGCAACATAGGCATTTTATAGCCTGCTCCTCCATATTCATCTAGCCTCTACTCATTATCCAGCTCCAAAGACACTCTTACATTTTTTAGGTATTTGTTATTAGCAATAGCCCAACTTTTCACTCTCAATTTTCTATCTTGGTTGGTTTTCTGTTGCTATAACAGAATATCTAAGACTGGGCAATTTATAAAGAAAAAAAGCTTAGTTCTTTACAGCTCTGGAGGCTGGGAAATCCAAGGTTAAGGGGCTACATCTGGTGAGGGTCTTTTTTCTTGTGTCATAACATGGCAGAGGGCATCACATGACAGGAAGGCAAGAGCATGTCAACTCAAATCTCTCTTCCTCTTGTTATAGAGCCACTAGTCTCATCATGAAGGCCTCACCTGATGACCTTATCTAATCCTAATTACCTCTCAAAGGCACCACCTCCAAATACTATCAAAACATAAATTTGGGGATTAAATTTTCAACACATGAAATTTGGGGGACACACTCAAACTATAGCAGTACATAAGTAAATAAATGAGATAATAAGTAAAATAATGTGTTAAATACATAAGTAATTAACTCTTTACATCAAAAAATTAATGATTAAGTAGTAAGGTCTGGCATGGTGGCTCTGCAAAGTTATTGGGACCAAATCTCGTTTTATCTTTTTTTCTGCATGGTGTGTGCAGCTTTCAGGCTTTCATGCTGTATGTTACCTCACTGTCTAGAGGGCTGTTGAGCTCCAGCCTGACACATGTTCATGCTCCTTCTGGGCAGTAGGAGGGGAGGGAGCCAGGTAGGGAAAAATCTCAGTAGAAGCTGAGATGAGTCTTATCCCTTTAGTGTACTTCCCAGGATTTCCACACAAACATTTCTTTCACACAAAAATGTTAAGCAGAAATTGGCCACATGGCCATAAGTAACTGCAAGGCAGGCTGAGAAATGAAATGTCATTTTATTCAGCTGGGAACATTACCTAACATCCTGTTATGAAAGAAAAAAGAAATTTGAGTAGATAATTTGCAATCTTTGTCATTTTTTATAATACTATGATTTATGATTTCTTTCTTTCTCTCTCCCTTCCTTCTCCCCATTCTCTTTGCTTCTCTTTCTCCTTCTCTCGTCTTTCTCACTTTCTTACCAAGTGAGGAAATAGAGATGGCCACTTCCAAGGTACTGGATCAAGATTATGTCTATTCTCACTCCAAATTTTTTGTCTTTTTAAACTATATGTCATTTTATCTAAGGTATAGGATAAGGATATTTGAGGTTAAAAACACAAAACTGTGTTTGTAGAGTAAATTTACAAATACTTTTGAACATTTAAATTTAAAAATATTTATGCAATATCTCATATATACAAGACATTGTTATGTCCTGTGAATGACAAAAAGATTAAATAGTGATTAAATTTAGGAAAACTTGTCTTAATTACAGAAGTAATAGGGAGTGGATGATGGTGACATTGAGACACATACTACAGTGAAAGACTCTTCAAGACTTTGAGACAGATTGAATATTAGGAGAGTGATGCATTAGAAAGAAAATGTTAATTTGGAGGTTTCAATGCAGAGTGCCTGAAAGATTCTGGGAATTCATAGGGATGATCAAGAGAAGGACCAGGGTACCCGGTGGAATAATTACTAAGGCACAAGTAAGGGCAAGAAGAAGGAAACACAGCTGTGGTTATATCTGAGTTAAAACAAAACCTACCGAAGTTATGTTTTGCAGGAGCAATGCAAAAAGCAACTTGATTGGGAGTTGTTTCATGGACCGTGGAATTATCACTGCCTTTTTTTTTTTTTTTTAAAGGCATGTATATACTCTTCTTTGGGACCCAAGCAATTAATTCTTCACCAAGAAGTAAACAGGTTGTGACTAAAAAAGAGTGCTAAAGGCACAAATAGCAAGATGCTTACAGTCATTGTGTGAGGATACATTCTCCATTAACTTGGTTGAATGGATTTAGGATTGGGAAGAGTTTTATGTGTGTTATTTTGATGTGTAAAGGCACATTTTTTTCTTCTCAGGAACTGAAGTTTTTTTGGAGTAAAAGCCCAATGCTCCAAGTAAATCTGCAAATTACCCTAAAAATTAAAATGTTATTTTTTCCAGAAATATCAAATCTGACCTTCTCCACTATTATTTTGGTTAAAAGCAGACTTGCTGTTTTCTGAATTTCTCTGAATTTACCACCAATTTGAACCTCATGATTTACCATAGTTTGGTCACTCTTTGTGTAGGTATTACATATGCATCATTTACATCTATACTACATATATGTCTGTGTTATGTTATATAGAACTTTCTAATTTTAAACCACTCTACAGTAATACTTTTCTAATTTCTACTGTATTTAGCTCATAGCCTGCAAATAATGAGTAATAATGCTATTTTATAAATTAATGACATGAGGAATAAATGACTAGCAAATTAAAAGCTTTTAAGGGCTAGGAGCAGTGGCTCACACCTGTAATTCCAGCATTTTGGGAGGTTGAGGCGGGCGGATCACTTGAGGTCAGGAGTTCAAGACCAGCCTGGCCAACATGGTGAAACACGATCTCTACTAAAAATACAAAAATTAGCCAGATGTGGTGGCAGGCACCTGTTATCCCAGCTACTCTGGAGGCTGAGGTAGGAGAATCACTTGAACCCGATAGGCAGAGGTTGCAGTGAGCCGAGATCACCACCTGGGCAACAGATTGTGACTCCATCTCAATAAAAAAAAAAAAGAAGAAGAAGCTTTTAAGAAAAAAAAAAACCTATGCTATGACATTTATTTTATGAAAATGAGAAAAACACATTTTTGGAAAAAAGGTATTTTGGTTTTGCGAGGGAGGCTTTTAATAAAATTTTAGAAGAAGAGAATGTGCTCAGATAAATTTTAAAACTGATGGATAAGTGGGTAGCAAAGAAAAAAGAAAGTTTTTCTTTTTAATTTTCAAAATAAAATTTTAGGAAAAATACTTATAAAATTTTTAAGGTAAGATGTCAAAAGGAAAAATATATATTAGCAGTGTGGAATCTACCTAGTAACACATTTTCTGGAAGATTCTGACATTGGAATAAATCAGGGGAACCATGCTATTTTTCAGAATTTAGAGAGGAACATGAGGGCCCTACTAATCAGAATTTAAGTTTGGGCACCTAATCTTATTATTGTGGTGGAAGATTTGGTTAGACTTAATAAAAAGAGTGAAATGATTTGATGTGTAGAACTCTTTTAGACTTTTTAGACTCTAAAATTTGAAAGAAAAAAATGAATATTTTCTAATCACAATAGATCCCAAGAGGTTATATAAATTAAAATAATAACATATGTCAAAATAAAATTGTAAGTAATCAAAGCCTAAATAGTCTTTTCTCTCTTACCTGGATTAATAAATATAGCAGCTTCTTTAACTCCCTTTTAATTTTTCAAGCCCGAAATTCACTCTTTCTATGGAAGCTGAGAGTTCTTAATTAAACATATAATTATTGCCTTTGCCTCAAGGATAAAAAGCAAAACCAAACCCTTCCTAAATTTTGCCTCTGCTAATCATGTCACCTTTATCTCAGCTTACTCACCTTCTCACACTACTTGTAGCCTCAATAACTGCGGTTTCCATAATGCTGGTTTATGACTTACCCACAGACTCATGGTAACAGCTCCTCTCTCTGCCTCCCTCTGTACCCTCAATCCATTCTACTCTTAAATGGAATATCCTCTCAGAAGACTTCTCTAACTGGATTCCAGATTGGATTTTAAGTTCTTCCAATGCATTCCTATGGTGCCCATTCTACATAATCCTACTGTTAAATTTTCATGCTGCATTGTAACGTTCAATTTACTAGTCTGCATTGGAATAAAGGTCTTAGATCAAGAATAGTTGTCCTGTTCCAAACTGTACCTTCCACAACTAGCTTTGGGCCTGGGAGATAGCAAGTATTACACACACAGATATTGGATAAAATATTTGATAATTGCAAATTTTAAATAATATGTGTACATGTGGTAATATGAGTATATAAGTAAAGCCAAATGTCACATTTTTACAGGAAAATATGCTATTGTCCACTTAATACATTTTCAGCCACTGTTTGTTCATGTAAACACAATCTTAAACATAACATTTTTTTCTTTTGCTATTGACAATTTCAAAATCCAAAATTTAAAGACGACAATATTGTTATTGTAATTAATTATAAGTTTTATTATAGATAGAGGTATTGATATAGATTTGTGTCATTTCATTTTCTTTTTAAAATTTCTCTGATATTATGTATTAATTACCCACATACCTAATTCTTTGTCTAAGCATTCTAAAACATCATTTTTAGAAAACTGTTTACTATTCATTCCTCAACAGGAAGGATCATATGTATTTAGAAGGTATTTACCATATCATATGATTTCAAGTGTGCCTATATAGCACAAAAAACAAAACCGCAGAGATAAAAATTTCCAGAATTGATAAATTAGTTCTTTCTTTGTAGATTAAAATAAATCACACTATTATTTCATTGGATGATGTGTACACAATCTTCATCTTATTACACTGTAAAGTTAGTGAGCAGTCCAGAAGATCACTTTCACTTCTGATACTACCTGCAAGTTTAACGATTCCTGAGACCACCTTTAGTTGCAATAATTCACAAGAAGGACTAATAGAACTCAGTGAAGGCTATTTTATTCATGGTTACAGTTTATCACAGTGGAAACATACAGATTAAAATCAACCAAGGATAGAGATGCATGGAACAGTGTCTATGAAAGTTTTGCTTTTAGTTGTCTTTTTCCAGTGGGGTCAGGGACAATCCTAACATTCCTGATAGTAAAGTGTGACAATATGCATGAAGTACTTGCAGCCAAAGAAGCTTATCCAAGCCTTGGTGCACAGAGGCCTATTGAGGCTCAATTACACAGATATAGTTGACTGACTCTGTGGCTGACCTTTAGCCTCCAGACCCTCTGGAGGTAGAGCAGATACAATATGGGCCAAAGTTCCACTATAAGTCACATTGTTAGACTCTTGCTGTGGCCCAAGGCTTTCAGGTAAAGCAAAACACTCTAACAGGTGGAGCATTCCAAAGGCCTAGAGATGAGTTCCAGGAGACGAGGACAAAAGCCAAACCTTTCTCTAGATCAGGTTTTTTTTTGATGTTGTTTGTTTGTTTGTTTTTCTGTACACACATGTGCACAAACTGCCTTTGGGAAGATGAAATAAAGACAATTCTTGCTGCTTTTGCATAGAAGCAAATATTAATTATTTTTGAGACAGCCTCAAATTTTTATCTTTATTAACCAATGTTATAGTTTGAAAAAAAACACACACAGATAATGAGACAGGCTTTCTTTGCCTTTTTTATGTGTAAGGAGTGAGATTTATAGTAATACCAATCTTGTAATTAGTAAGAAAATTAAATATTCTAAAAATATCCTGAATAAAAGCTTAAGGTAATGAACAATTCAACTTTTGAGATTGAAATTTCTACTTTAAGTTCGTAGTGTATAGAATGAGACAGACTGTAAAATGCATGTACCATATATAGGAAATAAGAAAAATGCTATAAAGTTCAGACTCATAGTGAGTAACTATAGTCCTGTTGGTTACAAATGTGACGGGAAAGAGGATATACTGCCAGCCAAAATTTAGTTTTCGACCCCATAGTTCTCCATCATGAAAACTGAGAAACATACTTTGCCATTTTTGATTTAGCCAGAGTTATTGGAACTAAAGAACATCTCCTTCCCCCACAGTGAAAATAATAATTTGTTTAATGTATTTTTCCTCTGGTTGACCGAGTGGATTTGAGGAATGAATGGTAATGTGAATAATGCATCCTTTAAAAAATACAGTTTCTGACACTAAAAAGGAAAAGAAGAAATAATATTTACAAGTGTTTCAGAAATGCATAAAAGTTTCAAGCACAGATTTATTATATTTTCTTCTTTAATAAATAGAACACATATTTCTCAAAACACATTTAAACTCAACTGCAATTTTTAAGCAGCAGAAATTACTTGGAAACTGTTAATTTGTTGAAGAATTACCATGTGTAAATAATGGAAGAAAAGAGTTTATGTATTGATTTTTAGAGAGAATACTAAACCTTCAGTCTTTGCAAAGCAAAAGAGACAATGGAAAAGAAAGAAAAGTATCTGCCATTATGATTTTTTGATTTATAACACCAAATGTGAGGGGTGCAGCTTATTTTTTTTATTAGATTTATTTTTGACAAAAGATCAGGATGAATGTTTGTTATATTTTCAGTGTTTGGCATAATATATTTAAAATACTAATATTGCCAGTTTTAATTTAATTTATATTTAAGCAGGTACAACATATTTGTGGAAAAAAATTTTTTAAAGTGAGGGAAAAAATTAACATCTAGAGATAACCATAATGATATTGCCAATCTGCGCTTTTATATGTTTATATGCATGTGTAACAAAATATAATTTACTTTTTAAAATATTTTAATTGACAAATAAAATGTATATATTTATCATGTACAACATTATGTATTGAAATCTGTAGACATTATGAAATGGCTCAATTGAGCTAATTAACATATGTTTTACAACACACATTTGTCATTTATTGTAATGAGAACACTTAAAATCTGCTCTTAGCAATTTTCAAGAATACAGTACTTAGTTATTGACTATAGTAACCATGTTGTACAATAGATCTCTTGAACTTACTTCTGCTCTCTAACTGATATCTTGTATCCTTTGATAAACACCTTCCCAACCCTGCCCGCTCCACCTTTACCCTAGACCCTGATAACTGCCATTCTACTCTCCACTTTTCTGAGTTCAACTTTTTTAGATTCCACATACGTAAGATCACGTGGTGTTTATCTTTCTGCTCCTGGCTTATTTCATGTAACATGGTGTCCTACAGGTTCATCCTTGTTGTTGCAAATAAAATAATTTATTTCTGTTTTAAGGCTGAACAGTATTTCATTTTGTACATGTACCACATTTTCTTTATCTACTCATCTGTTGATGAACACAGGTTGATTCCATATCTTGGTTATCATGATGATGCTGCAGTGAACATGTGAGTGCAGATAGCTCTTTGACATATTGATTTCAATTCCCTTGGATACATACCTAGTAGTGGGATTGCTGGTTTATACGGTAATTCTATTTTTCATTTTCTGAGGAACCTCCATACTAATTTTCGTAATGACTACAATAATTTACATTCCCACCAACATAATATAAGAGTTTTCCCTTTTCTCCACATCCTTGACAGCATGTGTCATCTATCAGCTTTTTGATAGACATTCTAACAGGTGTGAGGTGGTATCTCATGTTACTTTAATTTTCATTTCCCTCATGATTAGTGAGGTTGAGCATTTTTTCCTATAATTTTTGACCATTTTGTGTCTTCTTTTGAGAAATGTCTATTAAGGTTTTTTGTCCATTTTTAAATTGGGGTATGTTTTCTTCCTAATGAGTTGTTTGAGTTCTTTAAATATTTTGGATAGTAACTTTTACTAGATGTACGGTTTGCACATATATTCTCCCATTTCTCTTCACTTTGTTGGATGTTTGCTGTGCAGAAGCTTTATAGTTTGATATAATCTTATTTGTCCATTTTTGCTTCTGTTGCCTGTGCTTTGGGGTCATATCCAAAAAATCATTGCCAGACCAATGTCATGGAGCTTTGCATCTATGATTTCTTCTAGTAGTTTTACCTTTTCTGGTCTTATGTTTAGGTTTTTAATCCATTTTGAGTTGATTTTTGTATATGGTGTAAGGATCCAGTTTCATTTTTCTGCATGTAGATATCCTGTTTTTCTAACACAATTTATTGAATAGACTCTCCTTTCTTACTTGTGTTCTTGGCACTGTTATAAAACATTATTTGGCTGTATGTGCTTGAGTTTATTTCTGGGCTTTCTATTTTATTACATCAGTCTAAGTGTCAAAACATTGGTCTAAATGCTAAAACACTTTTATTGCTATAGTTTGGTAATACAGCTTGAAATCAGAAAGTATGATGCCTTCAGCTTTGTTGTTCTTGCTCAAGGTTACTTTTGCTATTTGAAGTCTTTTATGATTCCATATGAATTTTAGCTTTTTTTTTTTTTTTATTTCTCAGAAGAATACCATGTGGGTTTTGATAGGGATTGAACTAAATTTGTTGATTACTTTGGGCAGTATGGACATTTTAACAATCTTATTTCTTGCAGTGCCTGAACATGGGATGTCTTTTGATTTATTTGTGTTTTCTTTAATTTCCTTTATATCAATGTTTTATATTTTTCAGTGTACAAGTCTTTCACCTTTTTGGTTAAGCTTATTCCTAGGTATTTCATTACTTCTGTTACTACTGTGAACAGAGTTATTTTCTTAATTTGATTTTGGGAAAGTTTGTTGTTTGTGTATAGAATCACCACTAATTTTTGTGTGTTGATTTTGTATCTTGTGAGTTTACTAAATTCATTTTTAAATTCTAACAGGTTTTTCTTTTGTTTTATTTTTGGAGTCTTTATGGTTTTCTTTATATATATGATCATGTTATCATCAAACAGAGACATTTTTACATCTTACTTTCTGATTTGAATGCTTTTTATTTCTTTCGCTTTCATAATTGTTTGGGCTAGGATTTCTAATACTATGGTGAAAGGAAGTGGTGAGAGTGGGCATCCTTGCATTGTACCAATCTTCCAGGGAAAGCTTTCAGTTCTCTCCCATTGATTATAATGTTAACTATGGGCTTTTCATACGTAGCCTTTGTGTTGAAATAAGATTCTTTTATACTTATTTTGTTGATATTTTAATTCACAAATGGGTGTTGAAATTTGTCCAATACTTTTCCTGCATCAATTAAGGTGACCATGTGGCTTTTCTTTCATTTCATTAATGTGTTGTATCATGTTGATTGATTTGCATCCTTGCATCTTACTTGATCATGATGTATAATCCTTTGAATGTTATCAATTTTACATGAAATATTTGCAACAATATTTCTCACAAATATTAGCCTATAGTTTCTTTTCTTGTGGTGTCTTGACTGACTTTGATATCAGGGTGAAGTTGGCCTCATAAAATGTGTTTGTATTACCTCTTATTTTACTTTTTAGGAGAGTTAAGGAGACTTGATATTCATTTTTTGAATGTTTGCTGTGAGGCTGTTAGGTCCCAGGCTTTTTGTTGTTTTCAGGATATTTTGAATGAATGCTTATTCAACCTCCTAATTTGTTATTTTTCTATTCAGGCTTTCTATTTCTCCCTGATTCAGTTTTGATAGTTTGTATGATTTTAGAATTTTATCCATTTATTCTATGTTATCAAACTTTTTGGCATATAATTGTTCATAATAGTCCCTTATTACTTTTTATTTCTGAGATTTCCACTGTAATACGTTTTTTATTTTATGTATTTGAGTGTCATCTTCCTTGTTTTAAAATTTAATCTGGGTAAGTATTTGTTTATTTTGTTTATCTTAAAAAAACACACCCAGTTGTATTTTTTTTCTGTGCTTTTTTAAAAAACTTTTTTCTCTATTTGATCTATTTTTGCTCTGATGGTCATTATCTCTTCTATTCACTTTGGACTTAGTTTGTTCTTTTTCTAGTTCCTTAAAGTTAAATCAAGTTTAGTTTGCTTAATTGGAATCTCTCTTTTAAATATAGCCTCTTATTGCTATAAACTTCTCTCTGATTACTGCTTTTGCTGCTTTCCATAGATTTGGGTTGCTGTTTTTATTTTTGTTTCTCTTAAGATACTCTAAATTCTTTTTTGATTTCCACAGTGATTCAGTGGTTCTTCAAGAGATTGTTTTTTAGTTTCCATGGATTTGTGTATTTTCCCATTTTCTTCCTGTTACTGATTTCTAGTTCCATTCCATGTGGTTAGAAAATATACTTGGAATGAATTTGACTGCATTTTAACTGTGACACCTCATATGAGGTCAGGTGTTGGAATTTTCCACTTGTGGCATCATGCTGGCACAGAAAAAGTTTCAGATTTTAAAGCATTTATGATTTTGGATTTTTGGTTTTAGGATGATCAACCTTTATCTGAAATCAGGCAAGCAGGCTATAGAATTTATGTATTTAATCATTACACACACTGGCTCTCATTTGCTTTTCTAACTAAAATATTATTGAAATTTAGATCAGAATTCTCTTCAATCTTAGATTTTTTCAGAAAAGTGTTGTGTTTAATTATGTTAATAGTTGTTATATCAATAGGACTTTAAAAGAAATAAGTTTTAATCAGGTATAATTTATGTGCTACAAAATTTACCCATTTTATATTTTATTAAACTTATACAGTTTAGTAAATTTATACAGTTGCACAATCAACACTGTAATCCAATTTTAGTGCTTTTTTTTTTTAGATACAGGGTCTTACTATGTTGCCCAGGCTAGTCTCAAATTCCTAGCCTCAAGTGATTCTCCCTGTCAGCCTGACAAGTAGCTGGGATTATAGGTATGAGCAACCAGAAGCATTTCTTTTATGCAAACAATGCCCCTCATGCTCATCTTCAGCCTATCCTGCCCACATTCTTGGTCCCAGTGAACTACTGATGTGCTTTCTATCTGTATGGTTTTGCCTATTCAATAAATGTAATAGATTTATAATCATATAATATGCAGTCTTTTGAATTTAATTTCTTTCACTTAGCATTATGTTTTTGAGGTGTGTTCATGTCATTGCATTTAGTAGTATTTTGTTGCAGAAATTAACATCAGTAATATAGCATGAGGAGCTCATCCAACCTCTGCCCATTACTCAGTTCTAAAGCTGCTTCTACATTTTTTAGATATCTTTATAGCAACGCCACACTCCTCAATACCAATTTTCTGTGTGAGGCCATTTTTGTATTACTGGACACTATAAAGAAGTATCTGAGGCTGGGTAATGTATAAGGAAGTGGTTTAATTGGCTCACAGTTCTGTAGGCTGTATAGGAAGCATGGCACCAGCATCTGCTCTGCTTCTATTGAGGACTCAGGGAGCTTTTACTCATGGCATAAAGTGAAGCAAGAACAGGCATATCACATGGAGAGAGAGAGAGAGAAAAGAAGAAGAAGAAGAGGAAGAAGAAGAAGAGGAAGAAGAAGAAGAAGAAGAAGGCGGAGGAGGAGGAGAAGGGTGAGGAGGAGGAGGAAGAAGGAGAGGAAGGAGAGGAAGGAGGAGGAGCCAGACATTTTAAACGAACAGATATTGTGTGAACTCAGTGAGTAATTACTCATTACCATGAAGAGGGCAGTAATCAATTCATGAGGTATCTGACACCATGAATGAAATACCTTCTACCAGGCCCCACCTCCAACATTGAGGATCACATTTCAAGATGAGATTTGGAAGGGACAAATATTCAAATCACATTACCATATATTCTGGATATAAGACTTTTATCAGTAAGTTTGCATCTGTTTCTAGTCTGTGACTGCTCATTTCATTTTCTTAATGCTATCATTTTATAGCAAAAGTTTTTAATTGTGATCATTCAGAGGGATATGGAGGTATGAAGATAAATTCATAGACTAACAATATAAAAATGAAATTCTTCTATATTTAAAGAATAATCTGAATATATTAGCTAAGTAGATAATTTGATGTAGAACAACTGTAATTATAAGATATTGGCCAAAAAATCCATGATTCTGCTAATTGTTGGTATTTATGATACACTGACATGAGCATGGACCTTGAATATTTTTTTCAAAATTCAAGAAGTGTTAGCTAATTGCTTAACACTTCTTCAACTGTTAAGGGAATGTACAAAGCATAGATAGAATTTGAAAAGTTCTGAAAGTTATGAATACTTCATCAATCTTCATTCTCTGGAAACATGTCTATTACACTGAATAACTGAAATGAAAAGAATATCAGAGAATGTCTCAATTTTAAAATATTGAAATGTTAATCGTCTAGTTATGAAGCATCAATGTTAGCACATCATCTTTCTTGAATGAAAAGTACAAGTTTGAAAAGATATATAAGTAGATGAGTGGATGATGGTCATTTAAAGAAACCTGGCCAGGCGCGGTGGCTCACACCTGTAATCCCAGCACTTTGGGAGGCTGAGGCGGGTGGATGACAAGGACAGGAGTTCGAGATCATCCTAACCAACATGGTGAAACCCCATCTCTACTAAAAAAGCAAACAAAAAAAAATTAACTGGGCATGGTGTCATGCGCCTGTAATCCAGCTACTCAGGAGGCTGAGGCAGGAGAATCGCTTGAACCTGGGAGGCAGAGGATGCAGGGAGCCGAGATGGTGCCACTGCACTCCAGCCTGGGCAGCAGAGTGAGACTCTGTCTCAGAAAAAAAAAAAAAAAAAGAAAGAAAGCAAAGAAACCCTCAAAATCTGCAGTACTCCATGCATCTATTGAACCACTTGAAAGAAATAGACATGGGAATAAAATTAGGTATGTAATTGAGCCTTTTTCATATTTTCTAAAATGATTCAATAGATTTTTCCTCTTTAACAATCTTCTCTATTCATGGTCTTGTATATGATTAGTTCTGGCATTGATCAGCTTCAATTGCTTTTCATGCATTACAAAGAGCTATCAGATAATTGAAAAAGCAGGTGAAGCAATGGCCCTTCCAGAAAGGTGAAAAGGGGACTAATTGATGCAATTATTCTTAGCAAGTCAGATTTTATCTGCAAAATGATATTATGAAAATATCATATTATCTAAGTGGGCAAAGAGATGCTAGTTTGAAGTCAGATACATAAAACTTTCACGATATTGATTTTTCTTAAACCAATCCTGTGCAATATAAAGGTCACTAACTATACACTAACATTTAATTATTTGAATAAGAATATATTATTAATACTGAGGACTAACATAATTACATCAACATTGATTCTTTACATGAGATTTCTTAGAGAATTAGGTAACAAGTAAAGTGAAAATTTACCATCCGTTCATAAAATCTCAAAAGACTGATAATATTCAATATTAACTGGACTTATGTATTAAACTACTCTTCTTATTATTTATTCTGCAAACAGCTAATAGCTCTGACCTCATTCACTTACCTTTGTGATGAAGCTCTCACACAAGGTAATCATTTTTTTATTTCTATGAGAAGTTTATGATGTAATTAATTAAACTTTTTCTAATATCTGTTAGATATTGTTACTCAAATAAAAATATACTATTTCATCTATGCTGTATGATACTAATAGCTATTACATGCAACTAGATGATCATGGAATGTTTATCTTTATAACTTATTAATACCATTTATCTGGGCTTTGAGACTATCACATTTGGGAAAGCTGTGAGACTATCACATTTGGCAAAGCTGTAAGTTAATAGTTTATTAATTTATTCAATTCATATGTTTGTTTGGGTTTTTTTGAGACATGGTCTCACTCTGTCATTCAAGCTGGAGTGCAATGGTGCCATCATAGCTCACTGTAGCCTTGACTTCCTTGGACTCAGGTAATTCTCCCACCTCAGCCTCCCTAGTAGCTGGGACTACAGGGGCATATGACTCTGCTCAGGTAATTTTTTTTTTTTTTTTGTATGTTTAGTTGAGATGGGATTTCACCATGTTGTCCAGGCTGGTGTTGAACTCCTGGGCTCAAGCAATCTTCCTGCCTTGCCCTCCCAAAGTACTGGGATTACAGGTATAAGCCACCGTGCTTGGCCCATTAAGTTATTTTTTTGTATTCTAGTTTTTTAATTCTTTATTTTAAAATTAACTACTTAACTTTATTATTTTTTCCTAGAGATTGTTGATGTTTACATGGGAAATCAATTAAATAGATAAAATATATTTTATTTTATTTTTAAGTTCAAGTCTTTGACAGAAATGCTGAAAATCCAGGTCCTGGTTAATACCTTACATAGAGCTATTGCTCATTGATTATTGATGGTCATCTCTTGAAACAATTCTTAAAATAAATACTTTATACAAAATAAAAAGAATAGGAATATAGTATAGACAAGATTGTTTCAATTTTTAATAAGCCTAGCAGAAATATACTATGACATTTTCTTGTTTTCTACTAAATTCCACTTTGGTAGTATCAACAAGTGTAATCTTGATAGTCCCTTCATGGTTTCTTTAGATAAAAAATGATCCCTGAAATACAATGAATTTGTAGTTCTGTGTACTCTTCACTACTCTTTACTACTTAAAATGTTATAGAAAAATGTTCATGATTCATCCTGGTTTACTAGCATTATTTAAATACGTCTTCTTTATATACAAATAAAACTGATACTTCTTATCTGGACTAATTTTGCGAGCAATATTAAATATCTAGGCTGTAATGGTTTTAAGATATTGAATGCTGACTGTGCCGTTTAAAAATGCATTTCCTACTCCTATCTTTGTACATATTTCAAAAAGTAAATTTCAACTTTCAGCAACCATGAAATATGCATATAAAAACAGGTGTTTCTTGCCTTGCCTTGTCCTTGTGAGATATTACAAAGCTAATGCATTTGATTTTTCCTCCAGTGCACAGTACAATGGGAATAATTAAATAAAATGCCTGTTGTCTGTTTCCGTCCCTGAATATAAAATCAGAGGTGGTGTCTTGGCAAATAGTCCAAATAGCAGGATTAACTTTTATAACACAGATAATTTTCCCAGTATGTTCCATT
This sequence comes from Homo sapiens, assembly GCF_000001405.40. Lineage (NCBI taxonomy): Eukaryota > Metazoa > Chordata > Mammalia > Primates > Hominidae > Homo > Homo sapiens. The sequence continues at coordinate 86,315,722 of NC_000005.10, read as the reverse complement.
GATATTGTACATAAAATATGAGATACTAAAATTTTAATTATTCCTTCATCATATCTAGTGATAAAACATACACTGGACATATATTTTACATTTAAAAAAACTTTAATTTTCTCTGAGTAATGTTTTTTACTAATTTAGATTAGCTTACGTTTAGTTTAGATTAGTACATTTCAGTTTCTCATATATAACCTAATTCTTCAGATTCAGTATGTTATATTGCTATATATTATTTTGTGGGTGAGAGAGGGATTGAAGCTGAGGGTCTCAAGAAGTAAACCTGAATGTTCTCTTCCCTTGGCTTTGGGGCATTATTCTATTGGATGCTCATTGCTGTAGCTTTGACATTTCTAGAAATCATAATGCCAGTGGAGGCCAATATGTGTTCATGAAAATTATGGTTCTAAAATAAAACATATTTGAAAAATTAAAAAAACAAAATAACACACTCTGAGACTTAATATGTTAATGTTGTAAATCTTGAGGATTTTCTTTGCAATAAGTTGTGAAGAAATTTATTCAAGACTTTTTTTTTTAAACTTCTTCTGGGCAGGTTTTCAGTAAAACCACTTGGGAAATCTCAGTTTTTTAGAATTGCCATTACATGATGTTATCTTGAAATTTGTTGTCAGGAACAGCAGTGAGAACCAAGAAGTAAAAGGAACCAAGAAAGTTGCATTCTCAGTTATTGCTTTTTATATCAATAGCATAACTTTTGTGTCCATTAAGAAAGCCTTGAGATTTTTTAAATGTATCTATATTAGTCTGTTTTCACGCTGCTGATGAAGAAATACCTGAGAGTGACAAGAAAAAGAGGTTTATTGGACTTAACAGTTCCACATGGCTGGAGAGGCCTCAGAATCATGGCAGGAGGTGAAAGGCACTTCTTACATGGCAGCTGCAAGGGAAAATGAGGAAGAAGCAAAAGCAGAAACCCCTGATAAGCCCATCAGGTTTCATAAGACTTATTCACTATCATAAGAATACCCCGGAAAGACTGGTCCCCATGATTCAATTACCTCCCCTGGGGTCCCTCCCACAACATGTGGGAATTCTGAGAGATACAATTCAAGTTGAGACTTGGGTGGGGACACTGCCAAATCATATCATTCTGCCCCTGGCCACACCAAATTTCATATCCTCACATTTCAAAACCAATCATACCTTCCCAACAGTCCCCCAAAGTCTTAAGTAATTTCAGCATTAACCCAAAGTCCACATTCCAAAGTCTCATCTGAGACAAAATAAGTCCCTTCTGCCTATGAGCCTGTAAAATCAAAAGCAAACTAGTTACTTCCTAGATACGATGGGGGTACAGGTATTGGGTAAATACAGCCATCCCAAATGGAAGAAATTGACCAAAATGAAAGGGTTACAGGGCCCATTCAAGTCCAAAATCCAGCAGAGCAGTCATATTTTAAAGTTCCAGAATGATCTCCTTTGACTCCAGGTCTCACATCCAGGTCAGTCTGATGCAAGAGGTGGATTTCCATGGTCTTGGGCAGCTCTGCCTCTGTGACTTTGCAGGGAATAGCCTCCCTCCAAGCTGATTTCATGGGCTTGAGGAGTCTGCAGCTTTTCCAGGGATATGGTATAAGCTGGTAGACCCCATTCTGGGGTCTGGAGGAGGATGGCCCTCTTCTCACAGATCCACTAGGCAGTGCCCCAGTAGGGACTCTGTGTGGGAGCTCTGACACCACATTTCCCTTCCACACTGCCTTAGCAGAGGTTCTCCATGAGAGCCCCACCCCTGCAGCAGACTTTTTTCTGGTCACCCAGGCATTTCCGTACATCTCCTGAAATCTAGGCGGAGGTTCCCAAACCTCAATTCTTGGCTTCTGTGCACCTGCAGACTCAACACCAGCTGGAGGCTACTAAGGCTTAGTGCTTCCACCCTCTGAAGCCATAGCCCAAGCTGTATGTTGGCCCCTTTCAGCCATGGCTGCTGCAGTTAGGACACAGGGCACCAAGTCCCTAGGCTGCACACAGCATGAGGACCCTGGGCCTGGCTCACAAAAACACTTTTTCCTCCGGGGCCTCCAGGCCTGTGATGGGAGATGCTGCAGTGAAGGTCTCTGACATGGCCTGGAGAGATTTTCTCCATGGTCTTGGGGATTAACATTAGGCTCATTGCTACTTATACGAATTTCTGCAGCCAGTTTGAATTTCTTCCCAGAAAATGGGTTTTTCTTTTCTATTGCATAGTCAGACTGCAAATTTTCCAAATGTTTATGCTCTGCTTCCTTTATAACACTGAATACCTTTAACTGCACCCAAGTCATCTATTGAATGCTTTGCTGCTTAGAACTTTCTTCTGTCAGATACCCTAAATCATCCCTCTGAAGTTTAATGTTCCACAAATCTCTAAGACGGGGGCAAAATGCCACCAGTCTCTGCTAAAATATGACAAGAGTCACCTTTGCTCCAGTTCCCAACAAGTTCCTCATCTCCATCTGAGACCACCTCAGTCTAGACCTTATTGTCCATATCACTATCAGCATTTTGGGCAAAGCCATTCAACAAACCTCTAGGAAGTTCCAAACTTTCCCACATTTTCCTGTCTTCTTCTCAGCCCTTCAAACTGTTCCAATCTCTGCCTGTTACCCAGTTCCAAAGTTGCTTCCACATTTTTGGATATCTTTTCAGCAATGCCCACTCTACTGGTACCAATTTACTGTATTAGCCCATTTTCATGCTGCTGATAAAGATATACCTGAGACTGGGAAGAAAAAGAGGTTTAATTGGACTTATAGTTCCACATGGCTAGGGAGGACTCAGAATCATGGTGGGAAGGAAAATGCACTTCTTACATGGCAGTGGCAAGAGAAAATGAGGAAAAAGAAAAGCGGAAACCCATGATAAACCCATCATATCTCATGATACTTATTCACTGTCATGAGAAAAGCATAGGAAAGACAGCCTCCATGATTCAGTTACCTGCCCCTGGGACCCTCCCACAACACTTGGGAATTCTGGGAGATACAATTCAAGTTGAGATTTGGGTGGGGACACAGCCAAACAATATCAGCAGCTGAAGATGTTAGCTACTGATACTAATTATTATGATTTTATTATCTTTACCAAATATGTCAGGACAATGTTCAGAATTTAACACTGAGCTACTTCACTGTGGATCTGTTTTCTAAGACCTGCTTTTTTGAAGCAGTCCCATCCAGGGTTCAAGGTACTAAGAAGTAAGAAATGTACTTGTGTTTGCTTTGATTTTGCTATCTTAACACCCTTTAATGGCTCTACTTCTTAGAGATTGATCACTTTCACGGATCTGATCTTGTAAAATCTTTAAGCCTATCTGCAGCAGATAGCAATAAAAGACTGCCATTTCAAGTGGACAGACACTCTTCATTCCATTCCAACTGACCTTCCCCTCTGACTGTCGTTTTATGTTGGAGATTTTTTTATGTGCTGGCAATTCTTTAGGCCACATAAGCTGTGTCTTCGAGAAAAGTTGGGTTAAAAATATCACTGCAAACTTAGTCAAATGAAATATTTTCTTAGGCAAGCGATTATATTGAATTGATTTGTGGACTAAAAAGAACATCAATCTAGTCTTCAATTTGTGTATGTCATACTTTTAAGCTCTGTCTTTAGTCATTTATTTCACTGGCGACTTTCCCAATACCATTTCCATCTACTAGTACATCAATATGGTCCTAACATAGAGTGGACGAATAATATTTTGAAATCAACTCTAGGAAAAGAATGTTTTACTAAAGTAATTCATGAAAAATAAGTGGTGAATTTAAACCCCAGGGCTATATTATATAGAATTATTTTTAAATTGAAAAGTTATGTTCACATGTTCCACTCAACAAATAAAATAATTATACCTTTTGTGAGTCATGAGGTCTGTAATTTATGAGAGACTCATTAAGTTTTATAGATGTGAAGAATCTAGAGGCAAATTTGCAAACTGCTTATTTAAAAATATTGTAAAAAACAAAACAAAAAGGAAAAACAATAACTTCCCTAACCGTGCTTAGAAAACTTTCTGGTCACTATGTAGCACAGAAACCCAAATACCTTATTAAGCACATGGATATAAGAGGACTTATATTATTTAAAAATAAAAAAGAAACTGCTTCAAACTAGAAATTGTCTAGAGTAGGGAAAGTATTTCCTCAACTTTAAAGGTTATAATTCATAATTTTAAACAATTTTTCCACTCAAAATATAAGTTCTATTATAATTTATACTTTTGAATTTGACTAAATATCTCTATCTAGAAAGATGTTCCTGTTCCATATGTAGTAGTAACCACAGAAAGAACCTAGCCAATCACTAAGAGGACCTTCAAAAAAGCCTGGTGATCCCTCACTGGCATAGCAGATACTGTTTTCATTCAGTAGAGTGAAGGCTATTAGGATCCTCAGCTTTCCTCTGGTTACACACTAAATTATGGCCAAAATGATATTGGAATTAACATCTGCCTATTTTTTTTTTTTTTTTTACTTTTTTTGAGACAAGGTCTCACTTTACTGTCCAGGCTGGAGTGCAGTGGCCCAGTCTCAGCTCACTGCAGTTTCTGCCTCCTGGGCTCAAGCAGTTCTTGTGCCTCAGCCTCCTGAGTAGCTGGAACTACAGGCACACACCAACACACTCGGCTAATTTTTGTGTTTTCTGTAGACATGTGGTCTCGCTATGTTGGCCAGGCTGGTCTCAAACTCCTGGACTCAAGTGATCCACCTGCCTCAGCCTCCCAAAGTGATGAGATTACAGGCATGAGCGACCACACCCATCCAGTCTGTCTGATTTTAATGCCAATTGTAGAATACACATTTAAAAATAACATAATGGGGATTTTTCTGAGAGGAAAAGTAAAAGTAACACTTGTTTGAAAAGGTATGGTTAAGTGAGGCAAAAGAGGATAAATATTACTGTAAACCAGTCTATGCAGACATTATAACATGTCTAGCCTCTGCCAATTCTAGTGCAGTGGCAGCATGTAGAGGAGAGAGGGAGGCAGCACCCTCTATTACCTCCAGGTGCCATTTGCTCTTTATAGGCCATTGTCTTTTCTCACTTCATTAGATCATCAGATTTAAAGGTTGCTGCTGATGAATTCTTTATGTAAGAAGCCAATGTTACAAAACAACAAGAAGCAACAGTGATAGTACAGGCTACTAATGGCAAATAATTTTGATTCTTGTTTACACCATAATTTGGCTTCAGTTCCAGATTTCTTAGTTGTTGTTTAAAAGGAACATTATGCAGTAATGTCAAGTACCCCTGGGAAAATCTATTTCCCAATAGTCTAGTGAGTGGCATTTAGTATCTGGTGCATTTTCCAAGGTCCAAGGGCAGTCTTTCCATATTACAGGTTCAGATCCTTGACTTCTCAGTACATATCAACAAAATCTATTTCTTAGAGGTAAACTCGTAATGACCTAGGTTATGAAATTGCTTTGTAAAATTAATAATGACATATGTATCTTTCATAGACTTTCATAGAAGATAGGGAATAGCCCTATCTTCTTGTTAGCTCATTTTCTTTCCATGAGGAAATAAAATAATCATCAAATTACTTATTAATTTCCAGTGAGAAATTACTACTAAATAGCAGGCATACTCTGGGTCTACATAAATTATGACAAATATATTATTCTCCTTTAGAAAATCTATATAAGGAGCTATGTAATAATCAGGGGATTTTGAGCATAATATTAGAAAACTGAGAGAAAAATCAGATATTTAAAAAGACAAAATGCTAAAATAGCCTGATTCATCCATCTTACTGTATGAATGGTCTTACCAATGGGACACCAAATCCTCCATGTTTATAATCTATGTTTCTTCACATGAAAACTGATCTTAAAAATCAGGTCAGGATATTGGAGGTTTCTTAGAAGAGCCACCTCCCACTAGAAAGCTCAGAGAATGGGTACTGTCAACACTTCCTTCTGTGACTGGTTTGCCATGATTCACCAAAATCCTGTCCCAGCTACCTTATGATTAAAGCCCCTAGGTATTTCTTTCCATTTGATTAGGTTACTGTCAAGTTCTACCTTTTCCTTTTTCAGGTCTGATATTCAATTTGTCCCTTTATGACATAAAATTCTCAACATTTTAAAAAAAGCAGATTACTTTGGTTCTGTGGATTTAGAAATATCGACTTAAAAGCACCTCCCCCACCCCACATTTGCTTCATTTCACAACTTTTAGAAGGATTTGGACACTCTGAAGACCACATGTTTCTGTAGCCTTCATGTCATTTATTACAGTATTGAATATACAGTAGATACTAAAACATAATTGTTCATTCACTTCATAAATATATATTAAATTATTTTTTATGTTCAAAGCACTGTACCAGCTGCAGAAACATAGAGGAATAACACACATAGACCAGGATATCATAAAATTTCTGTCTAATAAGATTATTAGAATTTGCTATGTATATTTTTTAGCATATTTTCATGTGCTTTTCTTTTCATTCATTCATTACTGAAAACAAAAACAACAAAAAAAGTCAAACACTCTGTCCAAGTTATTAGGGAAAATGTTAGAAATGTTTCTATTGAAATTGTATTCTAGGTACGGAATCAATCTATATGCTGTATATTTTGCTTTAAATTCACAGAACTACATGTAATGCTTATATTTTGTATTCTGCTTATAAAGATAACAGTAATTTCTAACATCTATTGGCACTTTTTGATAATTAGAGTTCATTCTGGAAAACCTGAATGAATTTTTCTTAATATTTTCCAAATATTTTATCTTCAAATATTAGGTATTTGAATTATAGATTTTTTTGGGGGGGGGGCGGAGTCTCACTCTGTCGCCCAGGCTGGAGTGCAGTGACGCGATCTCTGCTCACTGCAACCTCCGCGTCCCGGATTCAAGCGATTCTATTGCCTCAGCCTCCCGAGTAGCTGGGACTACAGGCGTGTGCCACCACGTCTGGCTAATTTTTTGTATTTTTAGTAGAGACAGGGTTTCACCGTGTTAGGCAGAATGGTCTGGATCTCCTAACCTCGTGATCCACCCGCCTTTGCCTCCCAAAGTGCTGAGATTACAGGCGTGAGCCACTGCACCTGGCCAGATCAAATATGTTTATATATACTTTATTAGGGATATAGATGCAACTATATAGTAAAAATTATGTTAATCTTGGGCCCCAATATTTGAGTCATATCATTTGAATTGTATTTCATTTGTGCATTCTTACATTCTATTGGGAATTTGATTGAATTTATATTCAAGCATTGCTTGGAAAACTCTAAGCTATATAGAATAAATCAAGCTAAGTGTACATTTGAAGTAGAATTCTTTATAGAAAATCCTATTTAAGGAAAGTTAAAATGCTTTGAAGATGATAAACTGAAGACAGCATCCAGTTACTAAAACTGCAGTGTTCCCCAAGATACACGGCAACATAAATGCTGTATTTCTCCCTATCAGTGTTTCTTTTTGTTAATTTTGGAGGAAAAAAACCCACAAGTTTTCCTTGGTGAAATAAGTAAATTCTTCAAGCTTACTAGTGCTATATCATTATAAAAATTGACTCTCTCTTGTCATGTCTCTCTCTCTCTCTCTCTGTACCTATGTATGGTTCATATTTGGCTTATGTAGATAAATTCTTCATAGATTAGGATTATGTAACTTTCACTGCTCTTCATTAAAGCAAGGAGAAAAACAGATTTTGATTTATTTTTGTATGACTTCTACTCACTGCCTGTGTATTTGACAATGTAATTGAAGGCAGAGCTCAACAATTAACTTTTTAAAAACAAAATGACAAAATTGTTTACAGATAATCTGATAGTTCTTTAAGTCTCTAATAGGTAATCATCTTGCATTTCAATTCAGAATTTTGTCTTTTAGAAAATATCATCTTATATTAACTGAAACTGAGTAAATGGTGGCAGTAGGTAAGGAAGATGAAACTAATAATAATCATGGATTGTTTGTACAAAAAATACAAAACAAATGTTTTATTGCATTATACCATTAAATTTTTGTATAATATGTGAAAGTATATTACATTACATATTTTTGTTTTAAATCTTGTCAGTTAAAGAGACCACATTTATCTGACTGCTGACATTCTGAACTGGCACTTCTCTCTATCGGATATTTTAAATTCTGGGTCCTAGCCAATAAATTACAAATCACTGGAGATGTGGGCTTATCAACCTGTATTCATTGTCACCTTTATTTCCTATTCCACCTTTATTGCTAATCTCTATGGCACTAACCATTCATGAGTCAAAGCCCCTGCAGCTGATAGGTGATCTGTTAGGGCAAAGCTACTAACAACTCTAATGGACAATTGTCATTAAAAGAAGAGAGAGAATATTTCCTATTTGGAACTTTCACAGCCAAAGAGAAGTGGCAAAACAATAGTAAAGGAGTTTGTAGAGTAAATTCAAGTAGAGAGGAGGGAGTAAAGCAACAGTATAATGGTAGAAATGTATTACATTGAACTTCTAATCTCAGTTTCCAGATAGGGAGACTGAGAAATATTAAATCATTTATTATAATATAGCTAGGGTTTGAATGTTCGTGTCTCCCTCAAATTCATATGTTGAAATTCTAACCCCCAAGGTGATAGTATTAGGAGTGAGGGCTTTGAGGGTGATAGACTATGAGGGTGAATCCCTCATGATTGGGATTAATGCCCTAGCCCCTTCTACCGTGTGAGAACATGGCAAAAAGGCACCATTTATAAACCAGAATAATAAAAATCAAAAGTTTACATAGAATTATTTAAAGAGAAGGCCAGTTACATGAATTATCTTATGTAAACTACTTCCCCCCACTCATCTTACATATATAAAGTTTTACAAGAAGAGATCCAAACACTGAAGAGTTCGGTACCATATTATAATAATGGTGATCAAAGTTCTAAGAAGAAAAGGGCAGTAAGTAAGATGGAAATAAAAGGACTAATCACAAGTGGTTCCGTAATAAGGTCTTTTGTGCTTTTAAAGTGCAAAGCAGGTGTGAATAGACATTTCTTCCCACATACTTTGTTCATTCAACTATTAAATATTTATTGAGTGTCTGCTATGTGCCGTACACAGATCTTCATATAGGGGATGCAGCAGTAAGGAAAACCAACAAAATTCTCAGTCTTCCCACAGCATATCATCTAGTCAGGGGATACAGGAAATAATTTTATCACACTTAAAGGGTTTTATAGCTAGAAGAAATTTGGGTCATATCAAAAACAATTAACCTAAGAATCTCTAAAAATTGCTCCCCTAACATTCATTTTAACAGCTAACACACTCTGCAGAGAAAAATTTTAAATGCACATTTCTTATTTTAAAGTGTCTATTACTCATTTTTAAAGTAGAACTTTTTGCTATTTTCTTTCGTGCTTTTCTGCTAAATATACCCAAAAACTGAATGTCCTTTACATTAAAGTCTGATTGTATCTTCAAGCTCATGACTACTTGTATCTTTGCAGTAATGTATAATTGTAATAAGTTTCAAATAGTTTGAGAGCAATTGGATTTGCAGAGAGTTCATCTCTGTAGTGCATTTTCAAAATATGATTTTGAAAATTATATTTTGCTTCTGAAAGAAAGGCAACCACTAATGGAAAAACTTAATGTCTTAAGTAAGTCCTTAATTTGGAATACAGAAACCAGTATAATTTTAAAAAGAAAAATATTCTTTGTAGAAACTGTAAATTCTCCCATTATAACAGTGAACAGAGCTCCAGGTAATAATGCATAGGCATGTCAGGTTGCATCTGTATACTTGACTACATTAGTATTAGTGATATCAGATGGATATAAAAGAAAACCCTTGGAAAGAGAAGTGCCTTAGCCATGATTTCAGAGAGAAACCATTAGTAGACCTATTTATGATTCTATTACAGTTTTCAGATAGGATGTGAACATGGAATTTCATTGAAAATAGTTTAATTTTTTATATAAAAGGTTATGTATATAATGTGTATCAGTGACTATTTTCAAAATCATTTTCATCAAGACACCTTTTTTCTAAAATGGGCATTGTATACACACATGCACACACATGTACATGCACACGCACACATTATTTTTTATAGTGTAGGGTTTGATTATAAAAGTGTTGTCAAATCTGTTTTATTTATCTGCATATAGCAGTGATTGGCTTTTTTGAATTGAAATTTTTGCACATTGATGCATTGAAATAAGGAAAATTATTTATCTCTGAGCACTAAACTTACTTTTGCATATTTCTGTAATATTGCAATCCCCAGATCCAGATCGTGGGAAGTTAGGGAAAATGTGTGATTTTGTGTTTTGAATTACTGTCAGAATTACATACACAATTACAACAAACTTTATTTAAAGGACATTTCATTGTACTGCAAAAATCTCAATATTTATATTTCTTGTTTTTCTCTTTATATATTTTGCATTTTAATATATTGAGCCACTGGAAATTTGTAACAGATTAATTTGTTATAGGAGTTTAAATGTGTTGTCATTGTCTCCATTGTCTTTGTCCAGAGCCTATTATTATGGAAACAATAAAATTTATTGTGTCAAAAAAAAAAAAAAGAAAGAAAAACGGCCACAATGTAATGTTGCTAACAGCTCAGTAGAGGGTGCTGTAATTTAAAGCTGAAGAATGGCTCTCGGATAGATTATGAAAGCTGAAAGGTGAATGCAGGCAGGAGGAGGTAAGAGGAAAGAAAAATAAGTGGATCTTTACTTTTTGAAAGTACATCACTACAGTTATAGATCCTTGAAATACACCAACAAATGATACAGAACTAAAATATGATTTAAAACCTGAGTGTAACACTTTTTTTGTTTTAAAAAATATTCTCTGTCCATATTCACTCACTGTGCACTACAATATAACGAGAAAACAACAACAAAAGAAATGTAACACATTTATCTTTTAAAATTATATTATATATTGCAAAATCGATTACATCAGCATCCTTCCACCAATAATAAAATTAAAGGTTCATATTGAATCAGGACTTTTATGATTCCTGTGAATGATTTATCCATGACTCAGTCATCTATTTAAGCCTGAAGTGTATAATGTGACTTTAAGCTGCAAAAATGGACTGAGATGGTTAAAGTTAGTTTTCTTTTCTTTTCTTGCTTTATTTTATTGAGACGGGGTTGCCCAGGTTGAAGTGCAATGGCATAATCATGGCTCACTGCAGCCTCAAACTCCTGGGCTCAAGTGATCCTCCTGCCTCAGCCTCCCGAGTAGCTAGGACTACAGACGTACACCACGATGCTCAACTAATTTTTAATTTTTTTTTTGTAAACACTGGGTCTCACTATTTTGCCCCGTCTGATCTCAAACTCCTGGGTTCAAGGAATCCTCCCTCCTTGGGTTTCCAAACTGCCTGGATTACAGGCATGAGCCACCATGCCTGGCCTTATTTCTTAATTGTGGTAAAATGCACATAACATAACATTTACCGTCTTAACCGTTTTTAAGTGTACAGTTCAGTGGCATAAAGTACATTCAAACTAGTGCAACCAAACTCCAGAACTCTTCATCTTACAAAATGGAAACTTTGTACCCATTAAGAGTAACTTCTTATTCCTCCCTCCTGGAAGCCCCTGGCAACCACCATTCTACTCTATTTATGAATTTCACTACTCTAAGTACCTCATATAAGTAAATCATACATTGGTCATTTTGTGACAGGCATATTTTATTTAGCATAATGTCCTCAAGTTTCATTCATTTGTAACATGTCAGAATTCCTTTCTTTTTAAAAGCGGAATCATATTCTATTGCATGTATACACCACATTTCTTATCCCCTCTTCATGACAGACACAAAGTTTGATGCAAGTGTCATGGGTTTTGAGGACACAGCAAATATAATTAAGAAATGTCAGCTAACAGTTCTCACAATAAAGTGAAAGAGAAGTTGCTGCCTTGGGCAAGTTACTTGCTCAGAGTTTGTTGAAACAAAGAATATGTGAATTTTTCTCCTGTACCAGATGCGAGCTGTGCAAGACAGCCAGGGTGGGGTTGTCTTAGATTTTTTTCTGAAAGGGATTTCTGGAAGAAATACAGATTTCAGCAGGGGAAAAATTGTTGAGGCACCATCAGATGTCTAGCACCTAAAAAAGGAGACATAAGTGACCAGCCAGTGGGAGAGTACATGATCCCCACTAAGCAACTACATGAGAGATCCATAGTAACAGGTGGGGTAGGGAGTCTCCACATAACTCACAAAACAGACCCATAAGAGAAAGAGAGGGCTTTAAAAGCTCTCAGGGCAGAGAATATAGGGCTACTCACAACTGTATTAGTGTCAAGTAAGAACCTGCTAACTGCCCGCTTCCTCTCCTCGCTATCCTATTGTGACTCTGATGTGGTTAGCGAGCTAGAGAAGGAAGAATCCTAGATGGAGAAAAAAGAAACAGGCAAACACATCCACTTTCTCTACTGCAGGCTTTTGGTCTGAGCTGGCCTGAGTGCAGGGAGAAGAAGTTTTAACTTGAAATTGAGGTTAAAGTTTTGATGACCACTCTGGGTCTAACATATGAATTCCTTTTTGGAAGAAGCTTTCATTGACTGGAAGTGGTAAGTTGTAGGAGTTGCCCTTTCATCTAGAGCAAGGGAAGAATTTATCCCACAGAAGAAATTCAAAGTGACCCGGGGAATCACAGTTAAAATTGTCTATAATTGCATCTGCCAGTCATGCTTGTTTCCAGACTTAAAATATTCAGCTACAACTGTCTCCTAAACATAAAGATATTTAAGAGAAATGAACGGAGATAGCTGTTAAAGAAACATCCTAAATTCTAGATGCTTAACATGTATTATTCTTATTTAAGTCTTATAACATTTCCTCAAAGTTGGACTTAATACCTTTTTTTATGTATGTGAAAAGTGATTATCAGTGAGATTGAGTGACTTTCCCAAATGACAGAATCATGACTCATATCCATGTTTGTCTGGTTCCAACCACCTTGTCCTTTCTAAATATCATCTTAGTTCACATTTCCTTCTCTTAGACATCTTCATCTTCTAGCAAATTAACTGAAAATCTCTAAGTTCCAGTTTCCTTATGTACAAGACCAAATTCATAATGCCTGCTCTGCCATCCTCCAAAGAATATTGAAAGAATCATGAGATACACACACTACACTCTAAAGCACTCCATTAACTCAAGAATACTATTATTGGCGGAAGAGAGCAATACCTTTTGTCCTCACTCTTCTGCAGACAGAAGAATTATACTGGAAGTAATAACATGTGTTTGAGGACAAAAATCATCATCATAAATTGTTTAGAATATACTATCACACTAAATGCCATTATGTCTTCTCTTAAGAAAAAATGTTTAAAAATAAGCATAAGCTGGCCAGATTTGGTGGCATATGCCTGGTAGTCCCAGCTCCTCAGGAGGCTGAGGTGACAGGATCATTTGAGCCCAGGAGTTTGAGGCTGCAGTGAGTCACGATCACATCTCTGCATTCCAGGCTGGGTGACAGAGTGAGACACCGACTCTAAAACAATCTTTTTTAATTTAAAAAAAGGTATATTGGTCTAAAAACAATAACAGTGCTACCAAAAATAGAAGTAGAGAAATGAAGACCATTGTTCTTCATTTGTATCGCTGAATCTAAAAAACGATTTGGATTATCAGTATTATTTTCTTCAAGACAGAATCTTGCTCTGTCGCCCAGGCTGGAGTGCGATGGAGCAATCTTGGCACATTGCCACCTCTGCCTCCTGGACTCAAGTGATTCTCATGCCTCAGCCTCCCAAGTAGTGGGAATTACAGGTATGCGTCACCGCGCCCAGTTAATTTTTGTATTTTTAGTAGAGACTGGGTTTCACTATGTTGGCCAGGCTGGTCTCGAACTCCTGTCCTGAAGTGATCCACCTGCCTTGGCTTCCCAAAATGCTGGGATTACAGGTGTGAGCCACCAGCCCATTCAATTATTTGGTTTATTAAGTCATTACCACCCTAATTATGACGTGGCTGCAGTAATCCAGAATGCACATGAATGAATTGGAGTACTGGCTACTATGTGCACCCATCAGAATTTTATTTAGCCAAATTTATTTGTTAAGCCTCACAACTTTCTGCTACCCACCAAACATCTTTCACAAACTTCCAGGTAGCCTTTTGCGACCCGACAGGATGCATCAATGAACAGCATTATAAACAACATTTTGCTTGCATGGAAATATTACCATGCTCCACCTTGAAGAACAAAGGTTATTTATGAAAGTAGTGGTGACTAAGAAAATCAACTATTATAAAATTACTAAATTTTAAAAATAGATTAAAATACACCTGTTTTATTCTGATTACATGCTGTCTAAGCAATTAATCTTAAAAACAAAGAAACTACATTAGCTAACTGGGTTATATTAGAATGATTTTTTTCAGCGAACTTAAATTTATCTCCTTCATACCAATTTCTTTTGCTATTTTTAAATGATCTTTGTAATTTCATTTCTGATTATGAAACTGGCACGTATTTACCATATAGAAAATGTAGGAGATCACAGAAGAAAAAATACTCATGATTTCACTGTCCAGAGACTTAAGTGTATAAGTTGAGTATCCCTAATCTGAAAATCTGAAATACAATTTATTGTTAAGTACTGACCTCATGTCCTGTAACCCTGATGAATTTATTAATTCTAGTAGTATTTTAGTACGTTCCTTGAGGTTTTCTACATATAAGAACATAACATCTGCAAATAAAGGTAGTTTAACTTCTTCTGTTCCAATCTGGATACCTTTTATTTCATTCTCTTACCTAATTGTCCTGGCTACTATCTCCAGTACAACATTGAATACAAGTGGTGAGAGTGGACATCTTTGTATTATTCCTAATCTAAAGGTGAAAGCATTCAGTCTGTCACCACTAAACATGATGTTAGCTGAAGTTTTCTCACAGATGTCCTCTATCAGGTTGAGGAAGTTCCCTTCTATTCCTTGTTTGTTGAAAGAATACTGAATTTTGCCATATGCCTTTCCCATGTCTATTGAGATTATCACATTAGTTTTGGTTTATTTTCTACTGATGCTACCTTAGTTGGTTTTCAGATGTTAAACTAACCTTCTATCCCTGGGATAAATCCCACTTGGTCATGATGTATAATTTTTGCAGATGTTACCGGATTCAGTTTGCTAATATTTTGTTGAGGATTTTGTGTCCGTATTTAAAGATGATACTCATTTGTAGTTTTCTTGTGATGTCTTTGGTTTCAGTGTTGGTGTAATACTGGCCTCACAGAATAAGCTGGGAAGTGTTCTCTCCTGTATTTTTGGAAGAGTTTGTGAAAAGTTGTTATCAACTCTTCTTTAGATATTTGGTAGGATTTAGCAGTGAATCCGTCTGGGCCCAGGCTTTTGTTGGCATATAATTTTTTTGATTGCTAATTCAATCTCTTTAGTTTTAGAAGTCTATTCAGATGTCAGTTTTGATTGCTTGTGTTTTTTTTCAGTATTAAAAACTATTGCAAACTTCTAGTTTGTAATGGTTCTGATAAGAAATTGAATGTCATCCTTACATTTACTCCTCTGTATGCAATGTGTTTTTTCTCCTTTTATTCCTCTTAGGATTTTCTGTTCATCACTGGTTTTGATCAATTTGAGTATGGTGTTCCTTGGTGTAGTTTTCTTCATGTTTCTTGTCCTTAGGATACACTATTTTTCTGGGATATTTGGGGTTTATGGTTTTCATTGCCCATCAATGATAGACTGGATAAAGAAAATGTGGTACATATACACCATGGAATACTATGCAGCCATAAAAAGGAACGAGATCATGTCTTTTGCAGGGACACAGTTAAAGTTAGAAGCCATTATCCTCAGCAAACTAATGCAGGAACAGAAAACCGAACACTACATGTTCTCACTTATAAGTGGTAGCTGAATGATGATATCACATGGACACATGGGAGGAACAACACACACTGGGGCCTGTCAGAAGTGAGGGATGGGGGAGGGGGGAGGGAGAGCATTGGGAATAGTAGCTAATAGATGTTGGGCTTAACACCTAAGTAATGAGATGATCTGTGCAGCAAACCACATGGCACATGTTCATCTATGTAACACACCTGCACATCCTCCACATGTACCCCTGAACTTAAAAGTTGAAGGAAAAAACTAAACAACGATTTTAAAAATCCACTTAAACCTCCATACATGCACAACAATTAAATCAAAATTAATTACAGAACTAAATGTAAACTGCAAAACTAGAGAACTTACAGTAGAAAACATAAGAGAAAATCTTCATGATGTGGAGTTAGGCTAAGTATTCTTAGCTATCACATCAACAAAACTATTAAAACATTAGTAAATTCAACTTTATACAAATTAAAAATTCTTGGTCAGCACAGGACACTATTCATAGAATAAAAAGACATCCTACAGATTGAGAGAAGAATGTGAAAATCGTAATATGGCAAAGAACTTGTGTGATGGTTGTGTGTCACTGTGACCGAGCCCCAGGGTGCCAGGACATTCGTTCCTATGTTATTCTGTGTTTGTACTGGAGGTGGGTTCTGGATGACATTAACACAGGAATAGGCAGTCTACATGAAGCAGATTGCCCTCCCTAAGATGAGTGGGCCCCAACCAATCAACCAAAGGCTAGAGGAGAAGTAAAAGGCCTAATAAGAAGGAAATACTTTCCTGGGTATCCCCCTTTCCATCTTGGGAATTTCAGCCTCCAGAATCTCATGTCTAAACTGTGTGTATACACACACACACACACACACACACACACACACACATATGCCATATACATATACATACATATATATTAATATATACGTATAGACACACACACACACTTCATAGGTAGGTAGGAAGGATTGGATTTTGTAAAGCTCAGCCATTCGATGATAATTGTTGAAGCTGGCCAGTGATTATGGGGATTTTCTAGTATAGGATTCTGTCTCCTTTTTTATACTGCTGAGGTTCTGCATTTGAAGAAGTAGGATCGAATCATAGCTGAATTTCTCCACATACACTTCAAAGCCCTAGGGATTAACACAGAGTCAAAAATACCACCCATACTCCTGCCCCCAACCAGGGCTAGGGAACACTGGGGACCCCAAGTGATTTTATTTAGCCAGGTCTGGGAGCCACATAACAGCACAGGGAGCAGGAAACACCATGCAAATAGAGGCCAGCACAGCAGCGAGGGCCTGTTAATGACAAAACACAGGTAAAACCTTTCTCAGAAAGAGAGTGTGGAGAAACACAGATCAGGCCTGAGACCTGGTGGGTCAGAACCCTGCTACTGGGGAATTGAAAGGCAGGGGCTTCACAGTGCAGAGGACCAGAGGGGCCAATCTTCAAAGGGCAGAATCGCTGGGAGACGGGGAGGGCCTGGACAAAGGGAGCATCCTCTGGAGACTTGTGGTGAAGAGAATGAATGAAGTAACTGGCAGAAATTAAAGGTCCTGGTTGAACAAAATAGAATCCCAGACTGCGAGCACACAGGCCTGTCCCCCAAAGCCAGACAATATTTCCTAAAATCCCAAGCAAAAGTCATTTTTGGCAAGTACCTTATATCCAGTGATGCAATCCATGTATCAAGACATTGGGAAAAGTTTATGATTAAGTATGTAAAACTCAGCGAGATCTGATTCCCTCATGAGGACTCTGTTAAGGATAAATTCCACTCAACAAGTGATGCTTAGGACACACTTTTGAACAGCTCATGTGCATCAACATATTTAAATGTAGATCTCAACCAAAAACCAAGGTGTCACATAGGCTGTCACTTTATGTTTGGGTTAAAATAAAAAATAAGAAATGGTAGGTAATGAGGTTAGAGAAGAGGAAAATGATGTCTTTGATTGTCATAGTGGTAAAAATTTGACATTCAAAGAAATAATTTAAAATGTATAAACCAAACAGTAGAAATGTGTCAAGTTAAAAGGGGATTAGTGACGTTAAAACCTTTTCAGTGCAATGTTAAATGGGAGCTATACAACTCTTCCTAAATAACAAACAAAAAGCACACACACTTACACAAACACAAAAAGAAAACAAATAACATCAACAAAGAAATACAGGAAATACAATCTACCACATACGGTAAACATAGACTAGAACATGGAAGAGTTTTGAATATAAACAAGGAAATAAGAATGTTTTTATTAATCTAAATTCTTATCCACCAAAATCAATCATAATAATGAAAGCTTAAAACATTATATGTAAAAAATCCAATAGTCCAGAGTGAGAGGCAAGAAATGTTTTAATTAAACAGATTTAAAACTTAAAATTTTAACTGATGGACTAAAATTAATTTTGGATGAAAGTGATAATTGGGGCAGAGAATATTCTTTTTCACAACAGAATGCCAGCAAAAAGAAATTAAAATTAATTTTGGATGAAAGTTAAAATTTGGGCAGGGAATAATCTTTTTTACGAAGAATGCCAGCAAAAGCAAGTATAAGGTAATATTTTGAGATAGAAAATTTTCATTGTGCAAACATAAATATAATAACTGACACAGGCGGGGTGATTAATTGGTGATAAAATGTTCTGAAGAAGATCATTAGAATACAGGATATTTATACTATTTCACACCACTTTCCAAATTACTTACAAATAAGATGTCTTTACAAGGGACAGAGCTCCTAGACCCCTCCTTAACCAAGTGACCATCCTAGTATCACCGCATTGGGGATGGACACACTGGGCCTTCTCTGCCTGCAGATGGACTGAGGTAGGAAGCTACAGCATGGACGCTGCAGAGTTCCTGGCAAAATGTTTAGGCTGGATTTAATCATGACGACATTTTCAGATAACTTCAGAATGTAGACCATTGAGCCAGACAGCTGACCTGTCCTCTACAAACAAGTCCATGTCACCACCATCAATGACAACAACAAAAAGATGAGGAGATGTTTTGGGTTCAAAATGACTAAAAAAGCATAAGCTGCATAGGCTTTTTACTCTTTTTGAACTCAAAATGTCTCTTCTCCTTTTTGTTGTGTTCTTGGTGGTGACATGGACTGTTTGAAGGAGACAGGTCAGTTGTCCTGTTCAATGTTCTACATTCTGCAGTTATCTGAGGGTTACCTCCTATGAAACTCAGGCTAAGCGTTTTCAGCAAGAACATGGCATTGCTCATACTCTGCCCTGGCAGAGTCCCGGCTGACATGCTGTGTCCTGCCAGCAGCTGCGGACTCCTGTTCTCTACATGATGGGAATTGAGAAACAGGGCTAACGCCTGTCAATGCTATTTGTCCATCTGGGCATTGGTCTCCCTAGGTATTGATCACAATTGGAGGGGGATGGAATGTGGCTTCTCAAATCAAAGGAGCATAGTGGCTTGAAGTCATCAAGAGTATTCTGTGTCTGAAATTCAATCCTCAGTGAAGGACCCCTGCAGTATTGTGTTGGGACTTGAACTTGCTTTGCGTTTTAGTTGTTTTTATCAAGTGGAAAAGCTGCTTTTTGTGACATTCTTTCATCCTATCATCCTTTGCATCCTTCCAGCAGTATTTGGTATCTGTAGAGGAGAGAGAGAAAAAAATCAAATGAGCATTTTTGTCAGGTCCACCTGATGGCTGAGTCTGGAGGGATTGCTAAGCAGTGATATCTCACTGGGATCTCCTGCTGGGAGGTTGAGCTGAAGGGTGAGTCCTGGGCTGTCGGAAGGGGGAAGCACCATCCACAAGTGAGAAGAAAACACTCCTGAACTTCCAGTCAGCCTGGGGTGCAGGATATAAGGACCCCACCTATGCCCAACCAGCAGTGGGCAACATCATCCCCTTTCCTCCTGATCCCCTCTGTCTGGAGCAGAGTGATGGCTTTTCCTCCCAGTGAGCATGTACTCAGCATCAATCATGCATGCCAAGAAACAGAGGGGAGCAGAAGGACAGGAGCCTCTGCAGAGAAACCCACCCCCTTACAACTCCATGTCCTAGTCTTCTAGGGAGGAGTGGGAGGGCCATGGGAAGAACCCTGGATATGAGAAGCAGCAGAAACCTCAGACAACATCCACGTCCAGGTCCACATTTTACAACAGAGGAGTAGTGACGCCACAGGGGTAAGATTGAACTAAGGCCACATGACTTGCTATTGACAACCCAGGAATTAGAATCCACTCACTAAGGCCTTTCAATAAAGATTGGAGAAAGCAAGAGGAAAGGCTCCAATCTGGAGGTCTCAACAGTCATGAGTGGTGGTTGGGTCACCTTGGCTAGGACAGAAATAAGGTTTTACAGATAAATGTGATGTTGCTGCTGTTTCTTTGGTTGGTTAAAAACATAAAAAATATATATAATTATAAGTTTTTGTCCAAAGGTCATCAGGAAAGAAAGGGAGTTTAAAAAAAGAGACTCAAAATGGAGTTAGCAAAGTGAGGGAGAACAGGGACTGTAACCATGGCCCAACTTATTTTCCCTAATGCCCTGAAGTTGATTCCACATCCGGTTCCACCTTAAGGCATTTCTAGAAATATTCTCAATATCTAGACCAAGAAAACTCTGAAGTACAAAGTGGAAAGGATTAGTTTGTGTTTTACTACAGTCTCCCGTCCCACTTATTGTTTTCCCCAAGTACATTATGAGAAAGGTTTCTTTTTAATATTTTATGCCAGTGTGAAGAGAGGCATGAAGAAGTATTCATATACAATCTCTTGCAGCATTTCAGTCTTAATTTGTTATTGTATGCTCTTCAGGACAGGGGGACCAATGAGTTCTCTTTAGGGATTTTGCAGAAGGACAATAACTGACCAAAAGTAAAATTTTCACATTGCAGTGGTGAGACCATTGGTAGGCTATAAAATGGGTGTGGGGAAATGTAAACTGGAAGTTTTATTTTAAAATGCAAAAAGAAAATACTAAATTCCACTATATGTAATATGGCAGGTATTATTTCCATACATTAGGTGTTAATATCATGACTATTTCTTACTTATCTTGTATTCAAAATTCAGCAAGTGTGCTTCAAGCAGAGGCTAAAAGTCTAATCTATTAATTTTCTTGTTTTTCTTCTTGACTTTTTTCTATGCTATACGAAGAGTACTATTGAGAGGGGACTACAGATCCCATCAAAGTCTGATAGAGGCTCAGCCTTTTCTATGGAGTAGCCACACATATGTGGCACTTCCGTGTTGGTAACCTGAGGTCATAGTAGACCAGGGGTCCTTCTCATCTTTAGCCACATATTAGAATCACACGGGAGCATTTTGAAACTACAGATGCTCAGACCACACCCCAGGCCATGTAAGTGAGAATCTCTAAGTGTAAGTTGAAGGCATTCATCTTAATTGAAATCTCACCAGGTGCTTATTACATGGCAGCAGGATTTAGAGATACTAAATGGACCAGCCCAATTTCCCATCATTTTCTTTCCTTTCCCCATTTATCTCATGACTGGCTTTGTTCCCAGTGGTTCCATGGATTTTAGCCTTCTCTCTGACAATTTCAGTTAAATCTCTGTCTTATCAATTGGGCTGCACCAAAGCAAAGACTGTCCTGTAGACAGATTCTTGTCATCTAGTGTATGCATAAAGCTGGTCCTGGAGTCACTTTTCTCAAAGTTAATTCATAAAATGTTCTCTCATATACAATGGCCTCAAGATTCATCTGACTTGCATTTTAGACCCTTAACTGGACTTGAAAAGTGGAAATGAGAATAAAAAGGAGAGAGGTTAGAATGATGTACCTCATGATGTATGCAGTTTTCAAGTCCTGCCCTCTGCATGTACTTTTGGAGTGATGTCCCTTTAGAATGTCATAAATGTTCCCCAGTTAACATCAGCTCAAGTGAGTCCATGAGGTGAGAACACTGAGACCCTGGCAACTCCATCCACGTTGGCACTAGGCTGCACATCTGGGGCTAAAGACAAACCTGACTCCAGGCCAGTAGGGAACTCCCACCTGTGACCCTGGTTCTAGTTTAGTTTCCTAGGGGGGCTCTTAGTGCTTAGTTTTAACACTTCTCATTCAGAGGAACAAGTGATGATTAAGAGTTGAATTAGTTGTGTTGCTCAAAAGAAGACTCAAGAGGAAAATCTTTGTGTAAATGATGTATTAAAGCAATGATTTCTGCAAAAAGAGGCAATGGAGTTGGGGATGCAGCAAGGAAAGGTAAATTTCCCAAAGGAGTGTGTGATTCCGGGCAAACAACCCTGTGTTCAGCAGCTTAAACTATGCACTTGGATGGGGACAAGGAGGCCTGGCTCTCCTGTGGCCATGAGAGGGACTCTCAAGACAGTAGAAAAGGGAATAGAGCAGAGTTCAGAGAGTAAAGAGGAGATGGGTACAGAAAGGGCCAGTCAGGGTGGGAGCCCATGGGACACAGAGCTAAGACCAGACAGAGGTTAGAGCAGCTGTTGGAGAGAACAAATGGGAGAGAAAAAGCAGTGAGAGAATGAGCTGTCACCATAGACAGAGAAATAAGTGAGTGCAGCTATCAGCCATAGATGTGATTACCTCTGCACTCTAAGCATGCGGGCCAGCGAATCTGAATGCCAGTCTCCACTTGCTGAACGGGAGTCTTCTTTTGATGATCTTCAGTATCAGGACAAGGGAGGCATGAATCCGGCCAGTGACTTGACGCCCTTGTGTGTTGCTTGCTGAGCCTTCAAGTGCATCATCTTCCAGCTGGGGAGGGTTCTTCATCCCCAGAGAGGGCTCTAAAACCAGCTCTGAAAAGAAAACCACAGCCAATGGGATCCGCTGCCATCCATGATCTTACCGTAACTTTCTCTTCCACCCAGAGGACATCAAATCAGGAAAGTGGCCTTGGACAAGAAAGTCCAAAGGGCGAGGGGAAGCCGATAGAGTCACTTTAATACTTTCTTTTTTGTTGATCTTTCCTACATTACTCAGTAACGACAAGATTGCCAGGAGCCAAAGGCACTGCCAATTCACAAAAATTTTCAAGAAACATAGGATTCAGAAACACAAATAGCTTCCAGGTAGATAAGGCAAAGGTAAGGAAATAACACTGTATGTAGGCTATGCTTTGGGGAGAGAAGAGATTACAAAATCAAAGTTAAATCAGAACTGGGTTCAAACAGGAGATGGGAATGGAAGGGCCTGGCAGGGTGGCAGCCCATGTGGCACAGAGGTGAGACCAGACATAGGTGACAGCAACTGATGAGAGAAAAGAACCAGGAAGACTAAACCTAGAGAATTTACAAAAGTTGCATCATTATATGATCTACTGCATATATATATATACACCCTATATAGCATACACACCAGATATACATAGTCACACATAATAGGACAAATTATACATATATATATACATATACAGATATATATATGTGCATATATCTGTACACATTAATTTAAAGAAAAAAAATATAGGGATTTGGGAGGGATTGAATGTAACAGTAGAGTCACTATTCTGGTCCATCGAAATTGGAAAAATAATTGGAGACATGAGAAGAATGAGAAAGAATAAGTATGGGAGAAACAAATGACCTGGTAGACAGCAGGGAGAAATCACCAGGTGAAGGAAAGTGTTAATGAAACGAAAGGCGTTCACTCTGTCCTCTTACCTGGAGCCTGGTTCAGGCTCTGGACTCCAGGGAAAGTGAGCAAGAGGGAGTGTGTCTGAGCCAGTGGGGTGAGTCTTGGCTGGGGGTGTGAGAATCCACAGAGAAGCAAAAGAGAGTTCAGTGCTAAGAAATCAGTCTAAATAAGTTATCATGGCACATGTCAGGGACTGCGCATCCCCCGACACTCCCTGAGCACCTTCCATATGTCCTCTCCACTGGCCCAGATGGTGCTCATTATCTCACGCAACCCTCCCTCCCCCTGAGGACAGGGGTTCCCTCATTCCTCAGCTGAGGGCATCGCCTGACAGATGAGCACCAGGCAGCCCCAGGGGCTCCAGGAGGAGATACTGAGTGGGATGGAGAGTGAGAATGAACACGACCCAGGATTTTAAGATAATCTGAGCAGAAATGGATGCCTGTGAGACGGAAACTGAGGACATGGCCACGGACATGAGTGGAGAATGTGAACTAAATGGAATTTCATAAAAGAGACTGATGTGAACACTTTCCATGTGAAAGTTGCCCTTTTATTTCAAAAAAAGCAGTAAAAACAGCAGAAGAAGCTGGACATGTCAGGAGACTGAGTGTGGGCCCAGGATTTACACTGTTACTCAATGTGCCTCATAGGTTGTTATTGAAAGTGCCTGACAGGGGAAAATTGGCTTCATGAGGGATGGGGAAGGAGAGGAAGAAAACTGGCAGAAGAGTCTGTGTGAGAAAGGAAAGGAAGAGGGGCCCTAGAAAGCAGAGATCTTCATAACTGCTCTACCTCAGAGGAGACATCGTCCGTGAAGTCACTTGCTAAGTGTAAATTTAGCAGAAAGATAAAAGGATTAGATAACACCTACTCATAGGTTTATTGGGCAATTCTTATGGAATCAGACCCTTTGGAAATTATGATTGCAGGTAGATATTATTCTTCAGGTATCTTAGATGAGGGAACAGAGATATAAATAGCAAAAAGACAAAAACCTTGGCCAAAGTCAACAAGCAGAAAGTGGCAAACCCAGGTCCTGAGAGCAGATTTGGTCCTAAGCTCCAAGGCCTTTGCTCACCTCACTGGGTTGGAGCACCATGGATTTCAACTTGACCCTGAGGAAGCATGGGACGCCCCATTCTCTCCTCCATCCACAGCACCGTCGTGACCACCAACACCTGGATTAGAGCTTCATGACGCCGTTTCCTTCCCTACCTTGGAAGGGCCATTGGTTCCCAGAATCAGCATTGGCTGAGAAGCTGCAGGTCATGGAGGAAAGGCCCCGCTGGGGCAAGCCGTTCCCACAGTGGAACCCTTGATCCAGCTGTAGTCGCAGACAATTGGGCACCAGGGTGCTTGGTTCCAGCTGTGCCTGTGAAATTTGAACCTCTGACCGGTGGTGGCTCAAGTCTCCACTCCAAGTCCCTTGGGGACAGGCCGCCTCGGTGGGGGCTGAAAGGAGAAGGGGCTTCAGTAGGAACAATCTCAGTTTTCCCTTTGTTAAGTAATCCCGGAACACCCATCCCTGATGTCCCTGCTCTCAGTAAAGCCACCCAGTGACCCACACCACACAGACAGACATCATGTAAATGCAGGCAACATCACCTCTCCTGCCTGTGCCTGGGGACGCTGACACGGTAGGGGCCCAGGCTGGGGTGTCCCTGAGGTGAAAAACCTCTGCTTCAGCCCAGAGGGCTTTGGATTGTCTAACAAGACCATCCCGATTATTCTGTTATTATTCATCTCTTTCCTGTGCCCAGAGGGAAAGTTCTAGAGAGGCCTCAGAGCACAGGAGAGGAGTGGTTATTTTTCTCCACACACAGGGGTGTAAGAACGGGTCAAGAGTTAGAGCTGCGAGGCTTTGAGAAAGAACCACGAAAAAGGGGGCTGGGATGCTACAGACCAAACACTAAGTGAGGCAAACTTTTCTGGGTTCGGGGACATTTTGAATTTCCCATTGACTATAATGGTTTGACCCCCTACCCACACATATCCATCCTCTTGCCATATAGTGGGTGTCAGCAGACATAGGCAATGTAGGAGAGGGACCAGTCCCTTCCTGCAAATTCAGGGGCCACAAGTGCTACAGATCAGCACGTGCGGTTCCTTAGGAAGGCAACACAGGACATGATCCTCACATTACGCACTCCTCCAGTGGGGTTCGGGTGGCACCCCTTAAACAAATTATTTCCATTTCCACAGGGAGAGGAATACACATTCTGAGTGGACTAAGAAAAGACTTCCAATGACCTCACGCCAGTCCAGGTCGGGCTCAGGGTGGGGACGGGGCCTGCAGACCGGATCCACGTTGCTGTGGGGCTCCTCTCTCTCCTCCCCTCTCCACATCTTCATTCTCTCCAAGGTTTTCTAAGTTTTCTTAAAAATGCCTCATTGTTCTCAGCTCCAACATGGAGATGCCACTGCCCACTTGGGAGTGTCCCTTGATCCCTGAATGGTTTATAGCAGGACAGAGCTTGCTTGCAAAGGGGCAGGGCCTACAGCAGGTGCAAGGTCAGTGTGTATTTTAATTGTTTCATGAATCACTGTGATGCTAGAAAGGCATTTGCTTTTTTGAAACTCAGGGAGAAATGCAAAATGGGAAAGGGGCTGGTCCCAGTATGAAAGGCACTTACTGACCAAAATAGAATAGAGGCCAACATTTTTGTTGCTAGTTTCTTTCTTTATGTGTGTGTGACACAGGGTCTCACTTTGTTGCTCAGGCTGGAGTGCAGTGGTGCAATCGTGGCTCACTGCAGCCTTAACTAACCAGGCTCAGGTGATCCTTCCACCTCAGCCTCCCAAAAAGCTGGGACTACAGGTGTGTACCCCCATACTCTGCTAATTTTTTTTTTACAGATACGGTTTCACCATGTTACCCACACTGGTCTCAAACTCCTGAGCTCATGCAATCCACCTCCTTAGCCTCCCAAAGTGCTGGAATTACAGGCATGAGTCAACACACCTGGCATTTTTGCTAATCTCATTACAACATAATCCAATATACTGGGGGACCTCACAGAGTTACTTGCTCTTACTAGAAGATAATATAATGGGTAAAACCCCCAACAATCCACATGAAATTCCCAGAATTGAAGTAAAAAAAAAAGAGAATGAGCAAGAAGAAATGAAAATTGGATTTTCTTTTTACACATCCTGTGAAGCTTCTATCTCAAGGGGCGATTGTTCAGAAGAAGGGTTTTCTGGACATCATGGGGACAGGAACCACTCTGCTTTGCTCATTGGTTAGGCCAGAGCCTCATGAGGGACACTAGTTGTCGATGGTTTTCATGAGAATAGAGCACTGAGACCAAAACTTGATTGACACTACAAACCCACACATGGAGAAAACCACTGGAGCTCTGCAGAGGATGCAAGCCTGGCCACACATAAAGGAAGGGTCGCTGGACTGCGTCAGTGGAGGGAAGACACCCCAGAGGAAGTAGAGCCACAGTCCCAAACCTTTTTGGCACCAGGGACTGGTTTCATGGAAGACCATTTTTCAGACACCAGGTTGGTGGGGATGGTTTTGGGATGATTCAAGCACATTACATTTACTGTGCACTTCATTTCTATAAATATTATATTGGAATATATAATGAAATAATTATACAACTCACCATAATGTAGAATCAGTGGGAGCCCTAAGATTGTTTTCCTGCAACTAGATGGTCTCACCTGGGGGTGACAGTTACTGGGAGACAGTGACAGATCATCAGGCATTAGATTCTCGTAAGGAAAACACAATCTAGATTGCTGGCATGGACAATTCACAATAGAGTTCGAGCTCCTGTGAGAATCTAATGCCACTGCTGATCTGACAGGAGGTGGAATCCAGGCTGAAATGCTCTCCCACCGCTCACCTCCTGCTCTGCGGCCCAGTTCCTAACAGGTCATGGACCCATAATGGCCCATGGCCCCAGGGCTGGGGATCCCTGAAGAAGAAAATCTAGCTTGGGACACAGGAATCATGAAACAGGCCTCCAAATAATTGCTCAAAACTCCCAACATATGTGGATGGCCAGAGAAAAAATAAAGACATGGAATTAGCAAGATAATTTCAGAAAAGAGAGATGCCCTATCTTAAAGAAGGAGGTCTGTTACATAAATTTCTCCAGCTGAGCTACTGTGGCCAAGAATTTGCCATAAGCCCTCACCACTCCCTTCTCTGGCCTGTTTTGATAGCCAAAGCCTGCTCCTGTGAGAAGGAGCCAGGTGACAGAGGAGGCACTTGGAACAGGAGAAGAGGAAGTTCTACCCAGTGGATGTCTGTGCTTAAAACTGGATCCAAGAGCCAGATTCAAAACAAGCTCAGTGTATAGAGCCTGCTGCAGAGATGGTCTGTCTCAGCTGCACAAGTTGCAGGAAACAAAACATACAGAGGCTGCCTGGGAGGACAGTGGAGCTTTGTGACCTCCAGGGTGAAGTACTCACAGGCTACATCCAGAGCAGAGCAGGCAAGCTGATCCTCCAATGAGGACAAGGTGCTGCTATAAGGCTGGTGGCAGTCAGACACATCATGGTGAACTGAGGGAGTCAAGTAAACTTCATTCACGGAGTCCTCTGGGACTTCCTGCTCCTTCACCTCTGGCAGCTCCTGGCTGAGCCTGGGGTAAAGAAGACAGAAGATAAACACCAGAGAGAACCAACACCCAGCTGGTTCTATAGGGAGGCCCTTAGGAAGGCCCAGAGGAAGCAAAGTACATTCCCCTGAGAGAGATACAACCATCCTTCCCTGTCTCGAGTAGGAGACAGAGCATGACAGGCTCTCAGTGCACTGGGCAGGCAATGAGCTGGGGAGGAAGCAGAGGGAGTGATCCCTGTGGGGAACTGCCAGGACACAGTGCATTTGGCACTTTTGCATACATTTTGTTGAAATTAGCATCAGTGGCCAAATGAATACAGGCTCTTGAGTCTTCACAGAGTTCCTGTATCCTCAACAGCTCTTGTTCTCAACATTGTAGCATGGCATGATTTATTTTCATTCACTTCCCTGCTATCGAATACTTGCAAACATGGTAATGCCAAAGAGGCAGACATCAGATGTGCAACTCAACTTCACTTTAAGCAAAAAGGACAGAAAAGGGGACTGCAGAAAATGTCTGTGAGTGATCAGTTCAACAGAGTCAACTGAATGCAGATTAGACGAAAGGAATTAATAAGGAGGAACTAGAAATACAGGTGTACAATGAAAAGAGTCAACCTTATGAATATGGCATTTCATGGTTGGCTGAACAGATGGAACAGGTATATTCAGCACACTCTGATTTTCCCTGCATCTGAGACTCCAGATATCAACACTGAATTAACTGTCCATGATTCCTCAGAGTTACCTGGGGCATGGTGGGCTTTGGTCTTCTACCTCCTCTTGATCCTTTTTAATTTCTATAAATAAATTCACAAAGGGACAGACAGATTAAGCAGGTTCTCCTACACACATAAACAATCCACTGTGCAACCCTAACATAGAAATGTCAGTTTCCTCAGTGGGAGAACAGGACACTGTGAGAGAAATATTCCAGGAGGCCTGAGGTCCTGTCATGACAGAGATGCCTTGGTTTTCTTCCCTGAGCCTAGGAATGCAATCTCCCTGTTCTGGTAGATCATTATCCCAACATCATCTGTCCTGATTTTGTGCAAACAGTTATGCAAATTTTTCACACCAGTTGAAGGCAAATACCCCAGCTGCTTTCTAGAAGGAAAACTGCAATATTCAGCTTTCAATCATCAAATACTCACGTTGCTCGTGGTTACAAGGATTTTAGACACTGAAACTAGAATGTAGGAGGGAATCTACAGACCCTTGAATGAAAATGAATCTTTGGTGATACAAAGAGGCATTGGCTATTCGTGACATCTAGGAGTGACAAGGCCCAATCTTGTTTCTAGAAACATAACAAAAGGTAATGGACTACTCAGCTAAAACAGGGTAACATCAAAGACATAGAGAATGAGGCTGGGTTCTTTGAAACCTGGGTAATATCTTCAATGAAAAGTAGACAAAAATGCCACAGGCATTGGGCAGGCATAGAATCTCATAGGACATGGTTGGGGAAAGGAACTTGTAAGGAACACAATAGCTGGCAAGACAAATCTTATTCAGATTAAGAGGCCTGACAGACACCTGTTGGGCACGTGCTGCATAGGTTGGTGTGAATTTGTCAATGTCGTGACAGTGGGCGCACGGTGACACAGGCATGGTCTGAGATGAGGAAGAGAGCAAAGCTCACTGACCCACCCCTGTCTGTGCTTCCAACTTGATTTTTGATGCTGATGCAAATCATCCTGTGTCTGTGAGTCATGACCACACCAATGACACATCTCAGTCCAGCCAGGGATGTGAAGTGCAAGGATTATGGAGTCTACCTGGGACACCAATTGGAGATTTATCATGTTCACAATGGAGTACTCACTGTCTACAAGAGCCAAGCTGACTTGCTTGTCTTCAAAAGAGTACAAAGTGCTCCAATAAGGGTGGTAGGAGGGAGTCAGGTCAGGAAGGATGGAAGGAGTCAAGCAACATCCATCCAGTGACTCCTGGGGGATTTCATACTTGTCTACTCTCAGTGGTCCCCTGCTGAGCCTGTAGGGTAAGAAGGACTAAAGATTAATCCAAGGAGTTTCAGAGCCCTAGCTGGATTTCACGTGAGGCATGAGGGAGTGATCGCAGAAAACAAATGGGTCAACCCATTAAAGAGTTAAATATTCTCCTCTTCTTGGTGGGCACAGTGTGGTTGCCATGGGTAGGTTGCAATACAGAGAGAGGGAAAGAGAGAGATGAGAGAGAGAGAAGCATCAGGTGTTCAGCAAAGTAGCCAGATTATGATTTTCTGAGGAAGGAGACTGAGTCTCTCTGTATGGTAGAGTCGTGACTTACTGAATATCATGTCCCATAGCAGTGGTTTCATTCCTTTCTTTTAAATGATGTTAAATTTTATGTGTAGTGGCCAAGTAAACATAGGTTTTGAGGCATAATCATATCCCCAAAATCGCATGTCATCAAATCCTCTTAATATTGTGCATGGTATAACAATAATTTTTTCTACCTAATTTCCTTGCCTTGAAATGCTCACCACTGTGCTAATGCAAAACCAGCAGAAAGCAGATATGCATCTCAGGCTGGTTGACACCATAAGAAGAAGATACTTACTTTAAGGAAATCTGTGTGACTGATTAGTTGTTCACAAGGTCAAGTGGTTTTATGTACTGAACTTGAGAAGTTAATAAGAAATGGCAAACATTAAAAGTTTCACAATGAAAATGTAAAACATGGTTAAAAAGGATCATTTCCGGTTGGCTGAAGGGATGAATCAGGTATATTCAGGACTTTCTGGTTTTCTGTGGAGATGAGTTTCACAGATATCACCCCTGAATAGACAGCCCCTGATTTTTCTCAGTTACCTGGGAGCAACTGTTTCTTGTCCTTTCACCTCTTCAAGATCATTTTGCTTTTCTGTAAATAAATTAAGAGAAGACCAGCCAGATGAACTTGATCACATTCACATATGCACAACCTTGTGTCCAAATCTACATAGGGGCATAGATATACGCAGTGCGATAACAGGCTATTGTGAGAGAAACTTTCCAGGAGGTCTCAGGGTGAGCCTTGTGAGAAGTCACTAGGTTTGCTTTCCTGAGTCATGGAGCAAATCTCCCTGATCTGACAGGTCATCATCACAGTCCCTTCTGTCTTGAGTCACAGCAAACTGTTAACCATATCCTGTTTACTAACAGATCCTGGGGATCTACTTTAATGCTTCCTAGCAGGTTACTGCAGTATTCAGCATGTTTCCTTCTGATAAGCTGTTGTCAGTGTTTTTGTAGAATTTGCATTTAGAGGGACAGATTAAATCAAAAGAATCTCTAATGCTACATGGAAACATTGGCAGAGTCTATGATGTCTTTGTACTCTTTGTACTCTTCACACTCTGAGAAAAGACAGACACGCCTGCCTCAGTGGAAGGTGGGACATGCTGCTGGGGTCACTGCCTATAGGGCAGGCGGCACCATCCATCCCAAGGACGAAAGCAGCTCCAGTACCAGGCTCCAGGCAGGCATTTCCACATCTTTATTTATCAACCTCCCAACTTTCTGGCATCTGATACTCCCCAACTCAGGGATAGGGAGAAAGAAACGCAAGGGCACATCAAGTAACTTGACAAGATGATTCACCTGGAAGAAGGTGGAGTCAGAATTCACAGCACCTGAGGTCTGACTCTGAATCCTGGGCCACTTTCCCAAGCCTTGCAGCCTCTCCTGTAAAACACTGGACTGGTGCATGAAGTAGTGATTTTCTATACAGTCAGGAAGGCCCTAGGACTATGGGACCCAAAGTTTCCCTTGTACTGGGAATTTCAAGTGCAAATATGTCAAACATTTAAAAAATCATATCTGGATATGATTGCATAAAATATGAGGCACAAGACCGTGAGGCTGTAATAGAAATATGCCCAAATACTAATAAAGTTTGAATTAAGTTAGAAATAGTAGAATGAAGAGCTAATAGATAGTGTTTACTCTGTTCCAAGAACTGTTCTAGGAAATTTACAAGAAATAGGTCATGTAATTCATTGCAGTAATTTACAGAGGTAGGTATTATTATAGTACTCAATGAGCAGATGAGGAAACTGAGGCACAGAGAAGATAGGCAACTTGGATGGAGCCCAGGAGACTGGCCCAGGGTCCTTGCTCTGCACACTACACTGCTACCTCCACAATGTCTTATGTGCCATCTTTCTTCCTCTTCAGGAATAAGAGCCTGTGCCCCAGGAAGCAGCACTTCCCTCTCACCGGGACACTCCCTGCTTTGAAGGGTGTCACAGATATCACAGTTTCTGTTAGGAGCAGTCTCCTCTTTAAGCTCCTTAGAGTGGGTACTCTGTACAGTTGCCATTTTTCCCCCAGGGTCCCCTGGATGGAGCTTTGCCTATTGGGCCTCAAAGAAGCTTGAACTGAATGGAAGTTCATTAGTCCCAGACATTTAGACCAACAGACTAGATGTTACTTGTCTGTAGAATCTTACATGGTACAGAGAGGATTCTCATAAACATGATTTAGCCTCTTACTAAGGAAAACAGGTGGTTCTGTGCCTGTGTCAGAAGACAATAAGTAGGATTTTAACTCTAGTCCCACCTCACACCAGACTGCCAATGTGGAAAAGTTGCTAAATACTTTGTGCCTCTGTTTTCCATGTTTAACAAAATGAGGTTAAAACATCCACTTCTATTTTCCTAGAAGTATGGGAAGGATGAAATTAATTTCGATGAAAAGACCGTTCAGTTTCTCAGAACACAGGTGATCATTCATCACATTCATCATTGTGAATCTATAGAACTTACTGTATTTCTTCAGCTGGTTGGCCAGGGAGTAGGCAGTAGCTTGAGATATAAGGAATTTCTCTTTGAGGTCTCGGAACTGCTGATTGCTCTCTGCCAGCTGGGAGCGCAATTCCTGGTTGATTTCTAGGATGTTCATCTCTGCCCTCTCGCTGGACAAAGGGTCGGCAGATACCACCATGCTGACGTTTGTGGCAGAAGAGGTAGAGCCAGGGACTGGGGAGAAGAAACCCAAACACATGATGGGTCAAAAACTAGTGAAATCAATTAGGTTTAATCAGGACTGAGAGATGACAATTACTGGAATTGTTAACTTATGGTTGAGAAAAACTTGATGAACACGTCACAACACTTTAGAGTCCTTAACTGCAAAAACAGGGACCGGTATGCCTGAGCTCAGAGCTGAAGGCACTGACTGTAGCTCCGACTCTGACAAGAGTGAGCGAGGTAGCAGCCAGCATGCCAGGTAACGGTCTGCAGTTGCAATAACAGAATTAGAAGGTGGGGGTGTCATGGAATCTTAGGATCCTTGCATTCCAATTGCCCAGGCTGTGCTGAAACACTAGGCCCCCTGGTCTCACCTGAGGGTCACTGATGGGGACCATTTCTTCAGCAGTCACTCTCAGTATTTGTGCACCCTTGTGACAATGCTACAGGCCCACCTCTTTCTCAATACATATAAGCATATTCCTCATTGTTCATCTCTTGTGTGTATAAAATCATCAAGGTAGGGATAGTTTTCCAGAAGGTTATATTTTCTTAGTGGTAGTCATGAAGTCACCTCACCTTCTTTTTAAGGTAAAATGATCTTAATGCTTTTCCACAAGTGAAAGATAGAAAACTTTTAGTCTGCTATGATATCCCTCTGGGTCTTCTGCAGTTTTTTCTGTATCGACTGAAAATGAAGGAATAATTCACTTTTAAAAAATATTTTCTACCCTGTCTCAGTATTCTTGCTGCATCCCATTGTTATGTTGATTTCTTTTCTCTTACTGGGGCAGCATCTTGGCTTTTCATTACACTTAAGACCAGTTTCACATCCCTACGTCCAAAGCTCTTCCTCTATGTGTGGGTTGGTTTGCTTTTTTAATGTCACTGAACACTCATTTCATACTTGTCACTTACGAATATCATTCTGGTCCCAAAATAGCTCTTTTCAAGGTATCAAGTGATCAAAATCATTTGTATATATCCCCTGAAAACATGTGTGACCATGTATCTTGGGAAATCTTGTAAACCTGATGGTATTTTGTTGTTTTTAGTTTTCCCGTATATTGAAAAGAACAGGGCATTGAACGCTTCTCAGGGAATATTGTTGGAGATATATATATATTGAGTTGCTCTAACACTGTTGATGTGTGGTTGCATTCCACTAACAAAACCTGGCAAGATCAAGCTCATGGTCAGGGGTGGTTGGTGATCCTCAGTGTTCCTGTGCAGTAGAAGGTGAGTTTGAGATGAGAGGGATGAGTAGGGGAGCGTGCTCCCTCAAACCACCTCCTCACTTTCGCAGCTTCCATCTTCAACTAGGTTTTGTGAGGCTAGGACTTGGGAGATTGTCCTGTAGCCCAGGTCTCCTAAGTGTGGCTGCTGGACTTGCCTGAGTTGAGGGTGTGATGAGTGTGACCACGGGCTACGCAGCATTCATGTGGAAGTGAAGGAGGAGGACTGGATCAATCCCAGTGGAAAGTGCACCTCTCAGCATCCCGCACCATCCTCCACCAACACTGTATAATGACAGTGCTTTGAGAAGTAGTAAAGGCTATAAATTTATCTATTCTCTGGTGTCTCAGAGACCTGATATTCTGTGTCAGAATGAAAATCTGTCTAGTTTCTTCATTTTAAAAATGATAAAACTGTAGGTTCACAAAGTTACTGGTTTACTTGAGGTCACACAGGGATGCATTTTGAGCACTGCCAATAAAAGGAATCACAATAATTATTCAGTAATTATTTATAGAATCCATGTAATTCAGTAAATAGTCACATAATTATTTATTGACCAATTCATACTAGGCATTTTGTTCAAAACTGTACACATACTTGGATATCATATTTTCATCATAATCCTTAAGGCAATGTTATTATCCATAAGAAACAGGTAAGAAACCTGAAGAAGAGGGATAGCAAATCATGTATTTGGCTATATTTCTATTTTTTGGTTTCTGTGATGCTGGAAGAATGACCAGAATGAGTCATGGGAAGAGCATTCATTCCTGTGTCATTTTCCAGGACAGAGGTGTGCCCTCCTTCAGCACTGGGACCGAAATTCAGAAGTGTCTGCAACCTTGCTTTAACAGTGTGGGAAATAACCTCTATTACCTGGAATTTCACTGAAACTTTGGAATATACAAGAGAAATATGAGACTTGGGTCTTCCCTTGGCTGTATTTAATTCACTATTCTATTGAGTACCAATGATTCTCATTAAGACTTTTGCCTTGTTATAACTTTTCATTCTGACACAGAATGTCAGGTCTCTGAGACAACAGAGAATAGATAAATTTATAGCCTTTGCTACATCTCAAAGCACTGTCATTACACAGTGTAGGTGGAGGATGGTGCAGGCTGCTGAGAGGCACGCTTTCCACTGGGATTGATCCAGTCCTCTTCCTTCACTTCCACATGAATGCTGGGTAGTCCTTGGTCACACTCATCATACCCTGAACTCAGATACAATATATATTTTATGTATAGATACAATATATATTTTATGGAGAAGATTTTACTCTTAGCTCTATTTAGAATGAATAAATGTAAGCACCGGTTTAGGTTTTATGCCCTGGACTTGATATTTTTTCTGATTTCTGTTTTGAGACTAAATTCTCATGTAGATAGAAAAATGCTGCTTATTACTTACAAGAGCAAATTAGTTATTGATTTGAGTTTCTGAAGTCGAAGCACAAACTTTTGTTTTTAATCTTTGTCTGACCCCATCAGTGCCACTCATTGTCTCTCAGAATGACCTGGCCGTGATCCTGCACTTACCCTCGTCCTGCTGAACCATTTCCATGCACTGTCCAATTCCATCAGTGATCTGGGCTCTTCCCAAA
Organism: Homo sapiens; assembly: GCF_000001405.40. NCBI lineage: Eukaryota > Metazoa > Chordata > Mammalia > Primates > Hominidae > Homo > Homo sapiens. The sequence continues at coordinate 86,279,894 of NC_000005.10, read as the reverse complement.
GCTCCTTGAAATGGGTCCAGGTCTCAGGATGTCAGACACCTTCCAGACACAAAAGTAACCCATACTGTAGAGAGCGCAGCTGGGTTCCCACCTCCCTGAAGTTGGCAGGGATGTCCTAGGGCAGGAAGGAAGGCTTTCCCTTTTTAGCGGGTCTTTTCTTCATGTCTCAGTGCCTCTGATCTAGTGAACACACTGTCCTGAATGTGAAAGAACTTGCTAAATTTCTGGTTTATTTTTAGGTGGCTAGAACAGATTTATAAGACTTCCTTACCCATGTCTGCTGAAGTTTGAATTCTTAGTAGTAGGATTTTGTTTTTTTTCCTTGTAAGGTAAGCAGCTTGCAGAAGACTGGCCTTGTTGCTGTACAAAAAGATGTAAACTTAATTTCTACTCAAAGCAAGCTTGAATTTGAAACTAGGGCTTCCACTGTTCCAAAGTTGGACTGTCACTGCCTCAGGCATGTGTCCCGAAGGGCTCGTGTCTCTGCCGTAGTCAGGATAAAGTTAAGATGGAGCCCAGCAAGCCAGGTCTCCTTCACTTCTAGGTTCCCCCAAGAGATTTCTCTGCTTTGGAGACTGCATTGAATATATTCTTGTTCTGCTTTTGTGTTTGGGCTTTGGAATGATGTGATGCAGCTCAATGGTTCCTACCCCCAAGTTGATCAGAGTAAGAAACACCTGGAAGGTCAGTGCAAATACAGGTTCAGTGTCCTCCTTGCAGGGATTCTGATTCAGCGTGCTCAGGTGGGGCCTGGAATGTGTTTGTTAACATGACTCAGATGTGCAGTCAGTTTGGGGACCCTCTGATACCACGGACCTTACAGTTTATGGGATGATTCTGTTTTGCTGATGAAGAAACCAAGGCACAGAGAGTCTGTAACCCACCCAAGTTCCCTTTGCTGTAAGTACTGGAGCCAGATCTCAGGTAGAGTCCCCCTCCCACAAGCCCCATTCCAAGTTTTCCAATTCAGTTGTGTGGTTCTTTCCAAGTAGGTGTTTCTCTCCCCTGTACCTCATTTCTGCCCCCCGCCTCAAAAAAAGTTTTTGAATTTAATATGTTTCATCTAATACATTTCCTCTAGACATGCTGTCAGCAACCTATTCTGGCCACTTACTATGTGACATGGCTCTTTGTGAGACAGGGTCTCATTCTGTTACTCAGGCTGAAGTGCAGTAGTGATTACTGCTCACTGCTACCTGAAACTTCCAGGCTCAAGCGATCCTCCTGTCCGAACTTCAGAAGTAGCTGGAACTCTATGCACACATCACTATCTTGGCTAAGTTTTTTAATGTTTTGTAGAGATGAGGTGGTGCTATGTTTCTCAGGCTGCTCTCAAACTTCTGGCCTCAAACCATCCTCCCACCTAGGCCTCCAAAATTGCTGGGATTACAGGAGTGAGCCACTGAACCTGGCCTTAAAAAGCCTTTTTTTTTCTTTCTTAATAAAAATACAGGACATGGAGGTGTGGAAAGATACCTCTCTTTATTACTGTTGCTATTATTACTTCTAAAGTATAATTCATATATCACAAAAGTCACCATTTTTATGCATACCATTCAGCGTCTTTTACTATATTCCAAAGGTTTTGCAACCATCACCACTACCTAATTTCAGAATACTTTGGCAATGCTGGAAAGCATTCCTGTACTTACTGGCAGTCACTCTCCAATTACCCCGTTTTTGCAGTCCCTGACAAACACTAATCTACCTTCTCTCTATATAGATATATTTGATCTGGGCATTTCCTGTATATGGAATAATGCAACATTGCCTTTTGCATCTGCATCTCTTACTTAGCACAATGTTCTCAAGGTTCATCCTTGTTGTAGCATGCAGCAGTACTTCAATCCTTTTTGTGGCCAAATGATATTCCATTTTATAGTTATACCACATTTTGTTTACCTGTTCATCAACTGATGGTGGTTTGGGATGTTTCCACTTTTTCACTATTATGAATAATGCTGCTATGAACATTTTTGTACATGTTTTTGAGTGAATATTTGATTTTAATTTTCTTGGTTATATACCTAGGAGTGCAATTGCTGCATCATATATGACTTTATGTTTAAGTTTTTGAAGAACTGACAGACTGTTTTCCAATCTCAGTGGCTACAGCATTTTACATTCCCACTAGTAATATATGAGAATTCCATTTTCTCCATAACTTTCCAAACATATGTTGTGTTTTTTTTAAAGTCACCCTTGTGGGTCTGAAGTGGTATTTCATTTTGATTTAAGTTTACATTTTCCTAATGAGGAAAAACATTGAACCTCTCTGTATGTGCTTGTTGGCCACTTGTATGTATCATTTACAGAAATGTCTATTCAAACTTTTTTCCCATTTTTAAATTGTCTTTTTTGCTCACTTATATGAATTCTTTATATACTGTAGATACTAGACCCTTGTTAGGTATATGATTTGCAAATAGTTCTCCCATTACATGGATTATCTTTTCACTTCCTTGACAGAGTCCTTGGAAGCATGAAAGATTTTTTATTTTAATGAAGTCCATTTATCTTTCTATTTTGGTGTTGCTTGTGCTACTTAAGAAGTGTCTAATCCACAATCACAAAGATTTATACCTATGTTTTCTTCAAGACATCGCTTTTGGAATGAGAACTTTCCTGGGTTTTAGTGGAGGACAGACATTGTTTATTTATGCCTCTTGTCTATTACTGATATTTGCCTGATTGGTACTGATATGCCCACCACCCCTCCAGGGAGCATCCCGTGGCCTGGAACAGAGCTCTGGGGACTGGCATCCTTCCACTGACTTTGATGCTGATGACAGCCCTGATAGGGTGATTCAGCTGGCCTTAACCCGACCCACGTGCACGTATTCCTCAGCACATCTAGAGCTGAAGTCGAGAGCCTCTGTGGGAATGCTTGGCAGCCCATGCTGTTCTAAGGCTGGAGCAGACTTTCTTAGTCTATTCCAGGTAGACAGGCCTGCAGGGGGTCCAACCCCTACAAGCCCCTCTGTCTGGAATAGACTGCTTTCATCTCCGATGTTAGAAAGCAGACCTGTTTCAAGGTTTGGGGAAGGTTGTTCGATATGAACTGGGTCCTCTCTAATTATTTTTACTGTATGTGTGACTTCTTCCTAGAAAGAATGGAAGAATGTTTATGTTAGAACATTTTATCTATTCTTTGTCAATTGTTGTTTGTCTGCAATTTTAAAGTAGATAAAGGATAGCTCAATGTAAATATATTCTTAATAATTAACTGTGGTTGATGTCCACTGCCATGAGATCATATTTACTTCTATATACGATCTATTATTTAGGAATTGTCCTGCTCCTGATGAGAAAACAGACTCAGAAAGATTACAAAATTACCCTAGGCCACAAGTCTAGTGGGGAGAAGAATAAGAATTAGAAACTAATTTCTTTTGGCCTTCAAAGCTAACCTTATACCATTAGATTGAACTGAATGACAATACTTTCGCTATAATAAGTCTCAGAGTTTGTGGTTCTGCATTGTGTTTCCAAGGAAACAGCGTGTCGCTTTAATATTATTTCAAACTTTTAAATGTCAAACTCTTTTTTTAAATAAAACTTTTTTGTGTTTGTTCTATTCCATTGTTTTTTTCTTTTTTTCTCAAGTGATCCCTATTATTTATCTGCAGAATATTTGTTACCTATCTTCTGTCAATTTCTATTTTTTGAGTGTTTGTCATCTGTCACTTTGTTTTATGCTACCAGCTATTCACTAAGATATAATTTGCATGGAGTAAATTACAAAAAACCTAAGGGTACAGACTTATGACTTTTAATATAATTATACCTTATATAATAACACCCACATCAAGAGAGGGAACATTTTCCTCTATGCCAAAAAGTTCTGACGTGCTCCTTGCCAGTCAATACTCATCCTCCAAATGAAGAATATATTCTAAATTTTGTCACTATCTTAGTCCTTTTGTCCCTTTGCGTTGCTATAAAGGAATACAAGAGGCTGGGTCATTTATAAAGAAAAGAGATATATTTTGCTCATAGTTCTGTAGGCTGCAGAAGAAGAATGGCACCAACAACTGCTCTTAATGAGGGCCTGAGGCTGCTTCCCCACCCTGCAGAAGATGAAAGGGAACCAGTGTGTGCAAAGATCATATGGTGAAAGAGAAAGCAAAAGAGAGAGGAAAAGCTCAAGACTCTTTTTAATAACCAGCTCTTGCAGGAACTAATAGAATGAGAATTCACTCACTACCTTCTCCCTGGGAGGGGATTAATCTATTCATGGAGATCCACTCCCATAACCCAAACACCTCCCATTAAGCCCCACCTCCAACATTGGGGATCAAATTTAAACATGAGATTGGGAGGGGACAAATATCTAAACTATAGCAGCCACAGCTGATTAATTTTGCTTATTTTTGTGCTTCATAACAATGAAATCATTCAGTATCTTCTCTTGTTTTGACTTCTCTTAATCAGTTGGATATATCAGTATGCTACCAATTTGTTTGTGTTTTTCTTTCATTTCATTTTGTTTTGGCCTAGTAATATCCTATTTATTGCATAATTATCACACAATTTGATATCCATTTTTGTGATGGTAGACAGGTTTACTTGTTGGCTCTTATGCATAAGTAACTGAATATTCTTATGCACTTCTTTCTGTGAATATACATACTCATTTCTCCTTGGTATCGATCGCTAGGGATGGAATTTCTTGGTGAAAGGCTGAAAACGGACACAGAGTTTTGCAAAATGATTATATTATTTTACATTTCTATGAAAAACATAGGCTATTTCCAGTCGTTCTACATTCCCACACACTTAATATTTTCAGTCTTTTAAATTTTAGCCATTCTACCAGATGTGTAGGGATATTTTGGTTTTCCCATGCTTATTGGTTATTTAGATATCTTCTTATGTAAAGCACCTTTTCAAATTTTTCCACTCATTGATATACTGGGTTGTTTATCATTTTCTTTGTGACCTATTGGAGTTATTTATATATTTTGAATGAGTCCATTGTTTCATATATGTACATGTGAAGCGCTGAAGTTGAGACCCTCTCTGAGAATGCCTGGCAGTCCATGCTGTTCTAAGGCCAGAGTGGACTTCCTCACCCCATGCCAAACAGAGGGGACCATAGAGGTTGGACCCACTCAAGACTAATATATATATATATATTTATATTTATATTAATATATATATATTTATATTTATATTAATATATATATATTTATATTTATATTAATATATATATATTTATATTTATATTAATATATATAAGTATATTTATTTGCAACATGCATATATGTTGCAAATAATTATTCTTGGTCTCCAGATAGGTTTTGCCTTGTTAAACACTAACCTATAATAAGCAGAAGCTTTTTAAAAATGAAGTACAATTTAACTGATTTCTTATTGTGGTCAGTGCTACAGTCTAAGAAATATTTTCTGGTCTAAGAAATATTTTCCTATGTCAAGTTCATGAAAATAGTTTGTATTTTTTCCTTTAGAAGGTTTCTAATTCTAACTTTCACATCTTAAGTTAATTTCAATGTATGGTAGAAAGTGGCTGTTACTATTAACTTTTTAAAACAACAAATATTATTTCACTCAGAAACTTTCTATTGAAAAGTCTCTCATTTCCCCAATGAAGGGCATTGGTGTTTTTGTTTCTAAAAAATTTAAATAACTGTACATAGGGGGTGTATTTTTTGAATCTGTATTCTTTTACTTTATTTATGTATACTTACACCCGTACCATAGCTTTTAAATTATTGTAGCTCTAAAATGAGTTTTGAAATCTAGCAGAGTAAGTCTTCCAACTTTTTCAAGACCAACTTGCCTATTCTAGATTATTTGATTTTCAAATACATTTTTAAATTAGCATGTACATTTCTTTAAAACTCCTACTAGAATTATTAATCAGAATTATGTTGATGTGATATCCTCACAAAATTGAGTCTTCCAATCCATGAACATGATATACATTTCTCTATTTACTCTTCTTTAATTTCTCTCACCAATAGCTTTCAGGGGCTTTGTATCTGCTTCATTATATGTATTCTTAAGCATGCAATGATTTTCGATATTAATCTCTATTATGTTTTATTGAATTTCATTTTCTATCTGGTAATTGCTAGTATGGAGATATTAAGATTATTAAGTCAATGTTATAAAGGTATAAATTAAGTACAATAGACTGCAGCACTTTAAAATATATAATTAAATGCATATTTACAAATGTATACACAAATGGAACAACTGCTATAATCGAGACATGGGAATTTCCATAAGCCCAAAGTTTCTTGTAAGGCTTTGCAGTTCATCACTCTTTCAACCCTCCACCCCAGGGAGCAAGTGTCAAGTTAGGTCAGTTTGCGTTTTTAACCATTTTCTGTAAATGAAATTAGACCTGTGTTCTTTTATGTCTGCCTTCTTTCATGCATCATATTAATCCATCTGTATGAGTATTTTCATCAACAGTTAATACGCTGTAATTGCTGAGTAGTATTCCTTTGTGTGGCTACACCATGCTTGTTTCCTAGGCTGACTAAGAATCCCTAAGCCTAGTTGTGAAGGTGACCGCATCTACCTTTAAACAAGGGGCTGGCAACTTAGCTCACACCCGGCCAATCAGGTAGTAAAGAGAGCTCACTAAAATGCTAATTAGGCAAAAACAGGAGGTAAAGAAATAAGCAATCATCTATTGCCTGAGAGCACAGTGGGAGGGACAATGATCGGGATATAAACCCAGGCATTCGAGCCAGCAACAGCTACCCTCTTTGGATCCCTTCCCTTTGTAGGGAGCTCTGTTTTCACTCTATTAAATCTTGCAACTGCACACTCTTCTAGTCCGTGTTTGTTACAGCTCAAGCTGAGCTTTCACTCACTGTCCACCACTGATGTTTGCCACCATCGCAGACCCATGGCTGACTTCCATCCCTCCGGATCTGGCACGGAGTCTGCTTTGCTCCTGATCCAGCGAGGCACCCATTGCCGCTCCCTAACGGGCTGAAGGCTTGCCATTGTTCCTGCATGGCTAAGTGCCTGGGTTCATCCTAATCGAGCTGAACACTAGTCACTGGGTTCCACGGTTCTCTTCCATGACCCACAGCTTCTAATAGAGCTATAACACTCACTGCATGGCCCAAGATTCCATTCCTTGGAATCCATGAAGCCAAGAACCCCAGGTCAGAGAACACAAGGTTTGCCACCATCTTGGAAGCGGCTCACCACCATCTTGGGAGCTCTGGGAGCAAGGACCCTCCCCCCCACTCCCTGCCCCTCCCCGCCCCCCATAACAGAAAGACTGCCCATCTGATTTGTATGTGTTTAAACTTAGAAGAAACTGTTATCCAGATTTTCAAAGAAGTCGGACCATTTTTCATTCCCACAAGTGTAAGACTTCCAAGTGCTTTATATCCTTACCAACATGTGGTATTTTCAGCCTTTTTAACTTTATTGTTCTCATGGATATGTAATGGTATCTCATCATTGTATTGACTGATCTCCCGGATGACTAAAGAGTTGAGCATCTTTGCATGTGCTAATTGACCATTCACGTATCTTCTTTTCTGAAGTATCTATTCAAGTCTTTTGCCAAATCGTTTCATTGTGCTGTTTATATTATCAGACTGCATTATATACATACTATTAAAAAAATCCTTTTTTGGATATAAATATAGTATCTCCTATATTGTGGCTTCTTTTTAAGTTCTCTTAATGTTCCCTATTTTGGAGGTAAAGATAGATAATCATCAAAAACGTGATTATATATATACATATAACTATATTCATGTCTAAGAATCATGAGTTAAACATATATGTAAGGATCTATTTCTGAATTCTCTCTTCTCTTCCATTGATATATGTTCTATTTTTTTCAACAATACACATGATATTTATTTCCATAGCTGTATAGCTTCTCCTGCTGGTGTAAAACATTCCTTCAGCTTCTCAGACTGCAGCAACCCTTTCCAGTGTTGACCTGCATCCTCTGTGTGTGAAAGGAAAAGGAGGTGACAGGACATGGGGGAGCGGGAGCAGAAAGGGGAAGGAGGAGTGGTGACAAAAAGGCTGAAGGACAGAATGAGGAGGAAGGGAGGAGTGGGAGGCAGGATGAGTAGGACCAGGAGAGGAACAGGACCAGAGCCTGAATACCAAGGAATCCGTATTCTCAGCCCCAGAAGGCAACCCTGTCTCTCTGGAACTCCACTAACCTCATCCTGGACACACACACAGACACACACACACACACACACACACACACACACACACACACACAGAGTTCTCTGATCCTCCAGCCACCTTTCTTTCTCTAAGAAGAGCCTCTCACCCTTCCTCCCATTCCTCATCCTGGGGATTCTTTCCTTTTCCACTGGGTCTTCCAGGACTGGTTCACATCCTTCACCTGCAGCCAAACCCTTGCCTTGTGGTTCTGGAGAGTCCAGAGCAGTGAAAGCTCTCAGGAAAAGGAAGTGCAGGGCACCTGAGGTCACAGGGTCACCCCGCAGAATCTGAGTGCAGTTGTCCAAGGTCAGATGTCAAACTTTTCCCAAAGAAAATCAAAGAAGATCCTTGATCCAGGTCATTCTTTCTTGTGGACAATTAAGCTATGAAACCATAAACTTATGGCCAAGTTTCTTTCTAAAGACCAAGATCAGCCTAAACAAGGGTAGAGCAGGTGTGGATGCAGATTACAGAAACAGAACACTGAGCAAAACCTGGGCAGCTCCCACAAAGGCCCATGTAGAAGCTGCCTAGGCCACTGTCTAAGAAACCTTCTGAGGCAGTTCCAAGATGGCCAAATAGGAACAGCTCCTGGCTACAGCTCCCAGTGCAAGCGATGCAGAAGATGGGTGATTTCTGCATTTCCAACTGAGGTACCGGGTTCATTTCACTGGGGCTTGTCGGACAGTGGGTGCAGGACAGTGGGTGCAGCGCATCGAGTGTGAGCCAAAGCAGAGCGAGACATGGCCTCACCTGCGAAGTGCAAGGGGTCAGGGAATTCCCTTTCATAGCCCAGCAAAGCTGTGACAGATGGCACCTGAAAAATCAGGTCACTCCCACACTAATACTGCGCTTTTCCAATGGTCTTAGCAAACGGCCCACCAGGAGATTATATCCTGTGCCTGGCTTGGAGGGTCCCACGCCCACAGAGCCTCACTCATTGCTAGCACAGCAGTCTGAGATTGAACTGCAAGGTGGCAGCGAGGCTGGAGGAGGGGCGCCCACCATTGCTGAGGCTTGAGTAGGTAAACAAAGGGGCCGGGAAGCTGGAACTGGGTGGAGCCCACCGCAGCTCAAGAAGGCCTGCCTGCCTCTGTAGACTCCACCTCTGGGGGCAGGGCATAGCTGAACAAAAGGCAGCAGAAACCTCTGCGGACTTAAATGTCCCTGTCTGACAGCTTTGAAGAGAGTAGTGGTTCTCCCAGCACAGAGTTTGAGATCTGAGAATGGACAGACTGCCTCCTCAAGTGGGTCCCTGACCTCCGAGTAGCCTAACTGGGAGGCACCCCCTAGTAGGGGCAGACTGACACCTCACACAGCCGGGTACCCCTCTGAGATGAAACTTCCAGAGGAACGATCAGACATCAACATTTGCTGATACCCAGGCAAACAGGGTCTGGAGTGAACCTCCAGCCAACTCCAACAGACCTGCAGTTGAGGGTCCTGACTGTTAGAAGGAAAACTAACAAACAGAAAGGACATCTGCACCAAAACCCCATCTGTACGTCACCATCATCAAAGACCAAAGGTAGATAAAACCACCAAGATGGGGAAAAAACAGGACAGAAAAACTGAAAATTCTAAAAATCAGAGCACCTCTCCTCCTCCAAAGGAAAGCAGCTCCTCACCAGCAATGGAACAAAGCTGGACGGAGAATGACTTTGACGAGTTGAGAGAAGAAGGCTTCAGATGATCAAACTTCTCCGAGCTAAAAGAGGAAGTTTGAACCCATCTCAAAGAAGTTAAAAATCTTGAAAAAAGATTAGATGAGTGGCTAACTAGAATAACCAATGCAGAGAAGTCCTTAAAGCACCTGATGGAGCTGAAAACCATGGCATGAGAACTACATGATGAATGCACAAGCTTCAGTAGCCAATTCGATCAACTAGAAGAAAGGCTATCAGTGACTGAAGATGAAATGAATGAAATGAGGTGAGAAGATAAGTTTAGAGAAAAAAGAATAAAAAGAAATGAACAAAGCCTCCAAGAAATATGGGACTATGTGAAAAGACCAAATCTACATCTGATTGGTGTACCTGAAAATGACAGGGAGAATGGAACCAAGTTGGAAAACACTCTACAGGATATTATCCAGGAGAACTTCCCCAACCTAGCAAGGGAGGCCAACATTCAAATTCAGGAAATACAGAGAATGCCACAAAGATACTCCTTGAGAAGAACAACTCCAAGACACATAATTGTCAGATTCACCAAAGTTGAAATGAAGGAAAAAATGTTAAGGGCAGCCAGAGAGAAAGCTTGGGTTACCCACAAAGGGAAGCCTATCAGACTAACAGCTGATCTCTCGGCAGAAACTCTACAAGCCAGAAGAGAGTGGGGGCCAATATTCAACATTCTTAAAGAAAAGAATTTTCAACCCAGAATTTCATATCCGGCCAAACTAAGCTTCATAAGTGAAGGAGAAATAAAATCCTTTACAGACAAGCAAATGCTGAGAGATTTTGTCACCACCAGGCCTGCCCTATAAGAGCTCCTGAAGGAAGCACTAAACATGGAAAGGAACAACTGGTACCAGCCACTGCAAAAGCATGCCAAATTGTAAAGACCATCGATGCTAGGAAGAAACTGCATCAACAAACGAGCAAAATAACCAGTTAACATCATAATGACAGGATCAAATTCATACATAACAATATTAACCTTAAATGTAAATGGGCTAAATGCTCCAATTAAAAGACACAGACTGACAAATTGGATAAAGAGTCAAGACCCATCAGTGTGCTGTATTCAGGAAACCCATCTCATATGCAGAGACACACATAGGCTCAAAATTAATGGAGGAGGAGGGATGGAGGAAGATCTACCAAGCAAATGGAAAACAAAAAAAGGCAGGGTTGCAATCCTAGTCTCTGGTAAAACAGACTTTCAACCAACAAAGATCAAAAGAGACAAAGAAGGCCATTACATAATGGTAAAGGGATCAATTCAACAAGAAGAGCTAACTATCCTAAATATATATGCACCCAATGCAGGAGCACCCAGATTCATAAAGCAAGTCCTTAGAGACCTACAAAGAGACTTAGACTCCCGCACAATAATAATGGGAGACTTTAACACCCCATTGTCAACATTAGACAGATCAACGAGACAGAAAGTTAACAAGGATATCCAGGAATTGAATTCAGCTCTGCACCAAACGGACCTAATAGACATCTACAGAACTCTCCACCACAAATCAACAGAATATACATTCTTCTCAGCACCACAGTGCAGCTATTCCAAAATTGACCACATAGTTGGAAGTAAAGCACTCCTCAGCAAATGTAAAGGAACAGAAATTATAACAAACTGTCTCTCAGACCACAGTGCAATCAAACTAGAACTCAGAATTAAGAAACTCACTTAAAACCAGTCAACTACATGGAAACTGAACAACCTGCTCCTGAATGACTACTGGGTACATAACGAAATGAAGGTAGAAATAAAGATGTTCTTTGAAACCAGCGAGAACAAAGACACAACATACCAGAATGTCTGGGACACATTTAAAGCAGTGTGTAGACGGAAATTTGTAGCACTAAATGCCCACAAGAGAAAGCAGGAAAGATCTAAAATTGACACCCTAACATCACAATGAAAAGAACTAGAGACAAGAGCAAACACATTCAAAAGCTAGCAGAAGGCAAGAAATAACTAAGATCAGAGTAGAACTGAAGGAGATAGACACGAAAAACCCTTCAAAAAATCAATGAATCCAGAAGTTTGTTTTTTGAAAAGATCAACAAAATCGATAGACTGCTAGCAAGACTAATAAAGAGGAAAAGAGAGAAGAATCAAATGGACGCAATAAAAAATGATAAAGGGGATATCACCACCAATCCCAAAGAAATACAAACTACCATCAGAGAATACTATAAACACCTATATGCAAATGAACTAGAAAATCTAGAAGAAATGGATAAATTCCTGAACACATACACCCTCCCAAGACTAAGCCAGGAAGAAGTTGAATCTCTGAATAGATCAATGACAGGCTCTGAAATTGAGGCAATAATTAATAGCTTACCAACCAAAAGAAGTCCAGGACCAGATGGATTCCAGAGGTACAAGGAGGAGATGGTACCATTCCTTCTGAAACTATTCCAATCAATAGAAAAAGAGGGAATCCTCCCTAACTCATTTTATGGGGCCAGCATCATCCTGATACCAAAGCCTGGCAGAGACACGACAAAAAAAGAGAATTTTAGACCAATATCCCTGATGAACACCGATGCAAAAATCCTCAATAAAATACTGGCAAACCGAATCCAGCAGCACATCAAAAAGCTTATCCACCATGATCAAGGGGGGTTCATCCCTGGGATGCAAGGCTGGTTCAACATACGCAAATCAATAAACATAATCCAGCATATAAACCGAACCAAAGACAAAAACCACATGATTATGTCAATAGATGCAGAAAAGGCCTTCGACAAAATTCAACAACGCTTCATGCTAAAAACTCTCAATAAATTACGTATTGATGGGACGTATCTCAACATAATAAGAGCTATTTATGACAAACCCAAAGCCAATATCATACTGAATGGGCAAAAACTGGAAGCATTCCTTTTGAAAACTGGCACAAGAGAGGGATGCCCTCTCTCACCACTCCTATTCAACATAGTGTTGAAAGTTCTGGCCAGGGCAATCAGGAAGGAGAAAGAAATAAAGGGTATTCAATTAGGAAAAGAGGAAGTCAAATTGTCCCTGTTTGCAGATGACATGACTGTATATCTAGAAAACCCCATTGTCTCAGCCCGAAATCTCCTCAAGCTGATAAGCAACTTCAGCAAAGTCTCAGGATACAAAGTCAATGTGCAAAAATCACAAGCATTCTTATACACCAATAACAGACAAACAGAGAGCCAAATCATGAGTGAACTCCCATTCACAATTGCTTCAAAGAGAGTAAAATACCTAGGAATCCAACTTACAAGGGATGTGAAGGACCTCTTCAAGGAGAACTACAAACTACTGCTCAACGAAATAAAAGAGGACACAAACAAATGGAAGAACATTCCATGCTCATGGGTAGGAAGAATCAATATTGTGAAAATGGCCATACTGCCCAAGGTAATTTATAGATTCAATGCCATCCCCATCAAGCTACCAGTGACTTTCTTCACAGAATTGGAAAAAAACTACTTCAAAGTTCATATGGAACCAAAAAAGAGCCCGCATCACCAAGTCAATCCTAAGCCAAAAGAACAAAGCTGGAGGCATCACGCTACCTGACTTCAAACTATACTACCAGGCTACAGTAACCAAACCAGCATGGTACTGGTACCAAAACAGAGATATAGACCAATGGAACAGAACAGAGCCCTCAGAAATAATACCACACGTCTACAACTATCTATCTGATCTTTGACAAACCTGACAAAAATAAGAAATGGGGAAAGGATTCCCTATTTAAAAAATGGTGCTGGGAAAACTGGCTAGCCATATGTAGAAAGCTGAAACTGGATCCCTTCCTTACACCTTATACAAAAATTAATTCAAGATGGATTAAAGACTTAAATGTTAGACCTAAAACCATTAAAACCCTAGAAGAAAACCTAGGCATTACCATTCAGGACATAGGCATGGGCAAGGACTTCATGTCTAAAACACCAAAAGCAATGGCAACAAAAGCCAAAATTGACAAATGGGATCTAATTAAACTAAAGAGCTTCTGCACAGCAAAAGAAACTACCATCAGAGTGAACAGGCAACCTACAGAATGGGAGAAAATTTTTGCAATCTACTCATCTGACAAAGCGCTAATATCCAGAATCTACAATGAACTCAAACAAATTTACAAGAAAAAAACAAACAACCCTATCAGAAAGTGGGAGAAGTATATGAATAGACACTTCTCAAAAGAAGACATTTATGCAGCCAACAGACACACTACCTCAGTATTTCTAAACTTCATATGTTGCACATGTATACATTAAATGTTATGGTGCTGGGAAACTGGATAGCCATATGTAGAAAGCTGAAACTGGATCCCTTCTTTACACCTTATACAAAAATTAATTCAAGATGGATTAAAGACTTAAATGTTAGACCTAAAACCATAAAAACTCTAGAAGAAAACCTGGGCAATATCATTCAGGACATAGGCATGGGCAAGGACTTCATGTCTAAAACACCAAAAGCAATGGCAACAAAAGCCAAAATTGACAAATGGGATCTAATTAAACTAAAGAGCTTCTGCACAGTCAAAGAAACTGCCATCAGAGTGAACAGGCAACCTACAGAATGGGAGAAAATTTTTGCCATCTACTCATCTGACAAAGGGCTAATACCCAGAATCTATAAAGAACTCAAACAAATTTACAAGAAAAAAACAACCCCATCAACAAGTGGGCGAAGGATATGAACAGACACTTCTCAAAAGAAGACATTTATGCAGCCAACAGACACATGAAAAAATGCTCACCATCACTGGCCATCAGAGAAATGCAAATCAAAACCACAATGAGATACCATCTCACACCAGTTAGAATGGCGATCATTTAAAAGTCAGGAAACAACAGGTGCTGGAGAGGATGTGGAGAAATAGGAACACTTTTACACTGTTGATGGGACTGTAAACTAGTTCAACCATTGTGGAAGTCAGTGTGGCGATTCCTCAGGGATCTAGAACTAGAAATACCATTTGACCCAGCCATCCATTACTGGGTATATACCCAAAGGATTATAAATCATGCTGCTATAAAGACACATGCACATGTATGTTTATTGCAGCACTATTCACAATAACAAATACCAACCCAAATGTCCAACAATGATAGACTGGATTAAGAAAATGTGGCACATATACACCATGGAATACTATGCATCCATAAAAAATGATGAGTTCATGTCCTTTGTAGGGACATGGATGAAGCTGGAAACCATCATTCTCAGCAAACTATCGCAAGGACAAAAAACCAAACACTGCATGTTCTCACTTATAGGTGGGAATTGAGCAATGAGAACACTTGGACACAGGAAGGGGAACATCACACACCAGGGCCTGTTGTGGGGTGGGGGAAGGGGGGAGGGATAGCATTAGGAGATATACCTAATGTTAAATGATGAGTTAATGGGTGCAGCACACCAACATGGCACATGTATACATATGTAACAAAGCTGCATGTTGTGCACATGTACCCTAAAACTTAAAGTATAATAAAAAAGTATAATACCAATCAATTATACTTTTTAATATCAAAAAAATGTTACTAGCTTATTAATAGGATATGACATTTAAAAAAAACTTTAAGAATCACTATATTTAAGTCTACTTGTTAGAATTACAAGAAATAATTATTTTTACAAGGTTTTGTATACAGATTGAGTATCCCTCATCTGAAAAGCTGGGCATGAGAGTGTTTTGAATTTTAGATTTTTTAGTATTTTGAAATATTTACATATACATAATGAGATATCTTGGTGATGGGATCCAAGTGTAAACACAAGGTTTGTTTATGTTTCATATACTCATTTTGTATTTTTACAATTTAAAAACCTTACCTTCAGGGTAGGTAATGTTATGCAATATTTTTAAATAATTTTATAAATGAAACAAAGTTGGTATACATTGAACAATCAGAAAGCAAATGTTTCACTACCTCAGTGACCCATGTGGACAGTCTGTGATTGTTTGGAATCACTATAATATCTGACTATGAAGCTATATACTATGGATTAGCAATAATTTTCTTATACTTATTCACACATAAGTACTTAACAAGAAAAAATATGACATACCATTAGTGCAGTGAAAAAGTTATGGGTTCAGGGTAACTAAGCAGCACAGTAGCATCACCAGAATACCTGTACCAGCTATTCCGATAGTAGTAACAACAAATGACAGCCGGCTTTCAGTCTCCACCTACAATGCTGTGTTTTGATTAAAATGTTGCCATAAATCGTATTTTTTTTTTCAGGCAAGAAAAAACATCAGAAGCATTTGAGGAACCATAAAGTGGATCCTCTGGAATGAGGAGGCATTTTGCTGGGTATCTTTTTACAATGTTTCCTCCAGTGTAATTTGCCTCATTAACAATGATTTTTGTCTTTGAAGTCTCCCTTTGATTTTATAAACTGACATGATTCCTTTTTCTGTTATAATTGCACACTGCTCTAGTCCCTCAATAAGCTCATCACACATTTGTACCATGTCTTATAGGCACTTGTCTGCAGTTAATAATGTCACATTTATCATCATTATTATCATGATCACCTTGATTCAGAACAATTTCAGCTATTTTTACTATCAATCAATAAATGAACAACAACAGTTTCATTATTGATGTTAAAATATTATATGATATTCCCTTCTTATAGCTTACTGAGACTCTGAAGGTATGTATTTGGCATAGGTAAGGAGGTCAGACTTTTTTGCTTACTTAACATGTGGAATCCTTCAATGTCACCATCTTGCTCATCATGATCACTGATAAGATTATGTTACACATGCACACCTGTGTCTTCAGTTTCAAGTATTTGAAACAGTATAGATAGCATATTTTATGCTAAACACCTTTTGTAAAGCTTCCACACCTACTCCTCTGTTCACCACTGTTACCTTGCTGATTCAAGAGTATTTTTACATTTAGTCTTCATTGATCTAAAGATACTCTGGCCACATGAGTGAATTGCTGAAGTCATATTTTGGGAAAAATATATAATATGAACATTATTGTTATGAGAATTTCAGCTGGAGGATGAGCAGAACAGTTGTCAGGCAATAACAAAATCTTGCAGTCATCATTCAATCAGCTTTCCTGCAGTGAGCATGAGCTACTAGTAAAAAATGTTTATGGTACCAATCAGAAATGATGTCTCTGGTTATCCACAACTTTTTGCTAGCATAATTAATATAGGACTGGTAAGAAATTCATTCCAGTACTTTGGGAGGCCAAGGAGGGCAGATCATGAGGTCAGGAGATTGAGACCATCCTGGCCAACATGGTGAAACCCCGTCTCTACTAAAAATACAAAAATTAGCTGGGTGTGGTGGCACGTGCCTGTAATCCCAGCTACTCAGGAGGCTGAGACAGGATAATAGCTTGAATGTGGGAGTTGAAGGTTGCAGTGAGCCGAGATCGCGCCACTGCACTCCAGTGTGGCAACAGAGCAAGACTCCTTCTCAAAAAAATAAAATGAAATAAAATGAAAAAAGAAAGAAAGAAATTCACTCCTTGAAAACAGGGAGTACTCAAGCTGTTGTCTATCACAGCAAGTGCCTTCTTATGTGTGCCTGTTGCATTAGCAAATACCAGCACAAATATTTTGTCCTTGATATCCTCAATTCCTGTAGGTGCTGTCTCATCAAATGTAGTCAGGGTCTTTCTGGGGTAATAATGCCCAAACAGTGATATTTCAGCAACATTATAGACTTGTTCTGGTGTCAAATTTTCATCAGTGATAACCTTAGCATACTTGTCAATAAATATATCCATTGATTCATGATCAGCAGATGCTTTATCATTATAAATCATTAAAAATTTAACCCCTATCGTTTCTTAAATTTCTGCAATGAGCCTGTTGATATTCATAGTTCCCTTCACTTTTCAGTTCATCGTGATGGATCTTTGCTTTCTTCATGATCAGAATACTGTTAAGTGACATTTGTTTACTGTGATCCTGATGGATCCACTCTTTCAATACATAATCAAGATCTTTATTTTTATCTTTATGCAAGTTTTCTGTTTTTCATTACTTCTATTCATCACTTTTAGCATAGAATATCAACAGTTTATCCTTCTGTTTTGAGGGGTCATATATGGTGGTCATTCCAGCACCATGCTCTTCTGTAACATATTTAATGCATATCACTATCTACACTATGTTTGTCTACAGCAAAAATAGTCATGCTGTTGGAACAACAGTTTCTCCAACAGGTTGACTTTCTGTGCTGTAGGTAAACGTAAATGCTTTCTGCTTTTCTTGTCATTGTTACCTGTAGAGGTATCTGTAGGCCTTTTAAACATTTTCAACAATATCTTTAAAACTCAAAGAAGAGAACAAGCAAAAAACACAGTGAGTAATGCATGTAGGTCTTGGGCCCATGTAGGGCATCATTGGAAACCAATCATTGGTGTGTCAGGGCTGCACATATGCCATTTTATTAACCTTTGTGAGCGTACTTATGTGGGAGAATCTAGGCATGTATGGAAATGAAATATTGCAGCTGAAGAGGGGCAGGAAGGTCTTTTTCCCTTGGGGACACTGAATAATCTCTGTGTTATGTGCCTGTGTTTTGATTGTGACCCATCACATGAAGTCAAGTCTGGAATTTTGCAATTGTGGTGTCATAGATATAGTAATACTCAACTTGTATTAACCAGCAAAATAAAGTCACTAAACAAGAAATGAAACCTACAATATTTTAGACACAGCTTGAAATTGAAAAAGGGGAATTTGATTAATAAAATTCTAAAACACTTCTAGAAATGTATTTTAAATGAAATTATTTTTATAAATTTGTCTATAAATAATCAAGGTTTCGAATTGGTGATTGTAATAATCAAATATATTTTTTAAACCAGAAATACTTCTTCATATTCTTTCCTATGCGCAGAAGCCATGTTTAAGTACATCTACAAAGAACACTTCACAATGACAGCGTTCATCTTTTTATCTTTTATCAGGTATTCTGTGAGAATCACTTGTCTTAGTATTTGGTTTTCTATTTTTGTTTTTAGTGATATCTGTTTAACTATTCAGCCCTTTAGATGTTGTTTACTAAACACATTTTTTTATCATTCACATGCTTTAACATGTATGTTATCAATCACATTTTTAACATGCTAAAGCAGTCTGTTATTATTTTGTTAAAAATGCTCTTTAATACTTCAGCTGGTGTGAACTGTAACTGAATTTATCTTTCATTTGCATTAATTCTGTTTCTTTATTTGCACCTTTATGGCTAATGCCTTATTAGCTAGTTCACATTTCTATCCTTAGTGTTTAAAAAAATGACTGCCCACACAGAGTGGGTAGTCAATAAACATTTGCTAAATAAATGAATATTAGTGTATTCCAAATTTACTCTATATGAAATATTCTGCAAATTTTTGGAAAGATGAACTGTACATACATATTTATAAATGAATGTCTGACTTGATCAATATTTGTAACTCTGGTATGTTTCCTCAGTTATTTTTAAAGATTTCTTCTCTCCTTGGCAATGAATACAGATTCTGAAAATAAACTCTCTCTTTGCAGTAAGGGGAAATGTAATAAGTAAATGCAATGTTTGTGAGTTTTATTTTTGTCGGACAAGGAGCTGTTCTCTGGGTCAAATAGTTCTTGTCTCGTGTAGCAATCTAAAGTTCCCTGCAGTGTTTGCTCTAATTTGTTGTGCCCCTAATTTCCGTACAGAGGAATACCTCCTGTAGTTACCTATTATACTTTGTTAAGCACTCTTAGTTGTTGTGAGATTTACAAATATAAAAGTGAATGAATACCTAATATATTGGATGATAAAATTGCATATTACAGCTATCATATTGGACTAAAAGCAATACGACAATTTCTGAGATTAAATTAAGAATTTTGCTTTTATTTTAACAATTTAGCCATGTAAGTAGAAGACTTGACACAAAAAAGTTCCAATGAGATAGCTCTGGGCTCTCCTCATGATACTTCTTGCCAAACTAGCAATATAAAATATAATATTCAGAATTAAGGGATATAATACCTTAATTATACAACTACTTCTGGAGTATTGCATACATTTTAGCATAAAATATTTTCAAGATAATTTTGAAAAGCAAAATCACAGAGTATCAGAATACTGAGTGTTCTCAGACGAAATGGGTGGAGTTACCAGAGGTTTATCCTATAAATTACTTTATTCAATATGAGTCGAGATTGGCATTATCAGATATTTGAATACTTCTTATACACAAAAAGCAGGCATTCTTTATTAGTTTAGTGGGCAATAATATGATTAAAAAGATAAAATAGAAGTTTCCAGATTTTCATTCAACACAGTGAATAATTTTTAACAAGAATAACTTCTCTAACAATGGCTCTTGGTATCTGTCAGTGATTGTCCTCATTGATAGACAGTAAATTTTAAAGGTCTCTGTAACTATATGTATATCATAATCATCATTATCATCATCATTGTCCTCATCACTTATAAGTTAATTTCAAAAACATTTACAGAAATTAATTTATTGAATTCAACCTTTTTTCATTACCATTCTCTAATTAATCTCAACAAATCCTGGTTTTGAATGTGTCACATAGCTGAAGAAAGGGATGGCATGTTTCCTCTGATCCAAATAATTCAGATATACATGTGTCTTAAGTGTACTTCTGCTTGCATGTTAGGTTATCATCTAAGATTTACACTTCCCCATTCTGCCTCTGTATTTTGTTCTTTCCCCTCCATACCTGTATTAGTTCCCAACTATTTCACTTGGTTCTCTGTTCCCTCTCACACTCATGACAAATGAGCCCATCTAAACGTGACTTTACCTTATTCTAACTACTTATTCAGCTTTTCCATTTTACTGAATCCTTTATATGTCCACATTTAGCCTTTTTCCTATCACTCACTCTCCGCTTAATGTGTTATCACTCTTCTTTGCCCACATTAGTCAAATAATTCAATTTGTTTACAAAACACATTCTGCGACATGACACAACTTTCACATCTTGCTGAAATGAATATGATTTATTTGTTCAGAGGTTAGCAAGAATTAATGCATTGCTCAATCCTTCTTAAAATATTTCATTTATTATTTCACAAGTATTTATTGAGAAGACTCTATCATTCATTCCAAGTTCTATATATTGAACATATAGCAGCGTATAAGACATAGAAATTCATTCTAATGGCAGAGATGGAGCAGAAAATACTGTAAATGTGAATAGGATAAATTCAAATGATAATAAGTGCCATTAGGAAAACAAATTAGGGAGATCGTATGTGAAGGTGACTTAGGCAGGCTACTTTACATTGGGTATAAGAGACATCTCTTTTGGACAGAGGAAACATGAGCTAAGGTGAATGCCATGAAGGGGTCAGAAATGAGAAGATTCAAGGGCAAGACTTTCCAGGCAGAGAAAAAATTTTAGGTATTTTTGCATCACTGTGGTTACAACAATAGCATAAAATTTGTCATCTTAAGCATTTTAAGTGTGCAGTTCCATAGTATTAAGTATATTTACATTGTTATGCAACAGATTTCTAGAGCTTATTTATCTTGCAACACTGAAACTATATACACATTGTATAATTCCCCTTTCCCTGAGCCCCTGGCAACTACCACTCTACTTTTTGTATCTATGAATTTGACTACTTTAGATACTTCATATAAATAAAATCAGAATTTGTCCTTTTGTGACTGACTTATTTCACTTAGCATAATATCCTCAAGTTTCATCCATGTTGTAACATGTGACAGAATTTCTTTCCTTTTTAAGGCTGCGTAGTATTCTATTGTATATAAATAACACATTTTGTTTATTCAGTTATCCATTGATGGCATTTGCATTGCTTCTAACTCTTGGCAGTCATAAATAGTGCTGCTGTAGACATGAATATTTAAATATCTCTTAGACACCCTGCTTTCATTTCTTCTGGATGTATACTCAGAAGTGGTATTGTTGGATTGTATGTTAGCTCTATTTTTAATTTTCTGGGTGACTGCCATACTGTTTTCTATAGTGCTTGCACCATTTACAATCCCATCAACAGTGCACATGGGTTCTAACTTCTCCAAATCTCTGCCAAAACTTGTTATTTTCTCTCTCTCTCTCTCTCTCTCTGTGTGTGTCTGTGTGTGTTTGAAAGTGGCCATTCTAGTAAGTGTGAGTGGACATCTCATTGTGGTTTGTGTTTGCATTTGTGTAATGATTAGTGATGTTAAACATCATTTTATAAGCTTGTTGGCCATTGATATGGTTCAGCTGTGTCCCCACCCAAATCTCGACTGATTTATATCTCCCAGAATTCCCACATGTTGTGGTAGAAAACCAGGGGGAGGTAATTGAATCATGGGGGCCAGTCTTTCTCATGCTATTCTCGTGATAGTGACTAAGTCTCACAAGATCTGATGGGTTTTTCAGGGGTTTCTGCTTTTGCTTCTTCCTCATTTTCTCTTGCTGCCACCGTGTAAGAAGAGCCCTTTACCTCCCTCCATGATTCTGAGTCCTCCCCAGCCATGTGGAACTGTAAGTCCAATTAAACATCTTTTTCTTCCCAGTATCAGGCATGTCTTTATCAGCAGTGTGAAAATGGACTAATACAGCCATTTTATATTATCACTGGAGAAATGTCTATTCAAGTCCTTCACCCATTTCTAAAATTGAGTTGAGTTTCTGTTGTTGAGATGTACATGTTCTTTATATATTCTGGATATTAACTCCTTGTTAAATATACAATTGCAAATATTTTCTCCCATTCTGTTGGCTGCTTTTTCACAATGATTCTATCCTTTGGTGAACAAAAGTTTTCAAGTTTGATGTAGTCCTACTTGTCTACTTTTTCTTTTATTGCCTGAACTTTGATGTCACATCAAAGAAATAATTGCCAAACCAATATCATAAATATTTTCCCTTACCTTTTCTTCTTGGAATTACATAGTTTTGGATCTACAGGATAATTTTAAGAGCCAAAAAAAAAAGGCCTTTGTTGTGGGAGCAGAGTGAGTGAGAAGGTAGTGGTGTAAGATAAAGTCAGGGACCAGATAATTTGGGATTCCATTGGCTGTGCTAAGAAGTTGTAATTTTCTTTAATTCAAATGGGAAATCATTGGAGAGTTTAAAGAAAGTGAGTGATATAATCTGATTTAGATTTATATTACGTGCTTTTTTTAATTTTAAATTTTTGTAGATCACCTTGGTGCTGTGTGGGACATTGACTTGAGATCAAAATTGAGTAAGGGTCATGATTTAGGAAGCTGTTGCCATTCTTCAGGTGAGTATAGTAAGGTGCTTGTCTGGTGAAACCAGGAAAAGGATCAACCAGCCTTGTGAATCATTGCATAATACTTTATTATAAGTGGGATGTGGCATGACTAGAAAAAAAACTTCACAACCTGCCTACTTTGGCTTATAAAGATTTATCAACAAACTTGAATAATTTCAGGCAGTTACTTTGATTATTTTTCAGAATATTTGGACAGAGAGAATAATGAAACACACTGAAGTTTCTTAATTTCCACCCGGAAACCGCACTGCCAAGTAAGAGTAAACCTTACCAGTGAACCTAGGAAATGAAAAGTTGCATTCTTAAAACTTTTAGAAAGCATGTACAGGCCGAGCACAGTGGCTCATGCCTGTAATCCCAGCACTTAGAGAACCTGAAGGGGGTGGATCACCTAAGGTCAGGAGTTTGAGACCATCGAGACCAACCTGAATAACATGGTGAAACCGTGTCTCTACTAAAAATACAAAATTAGCCAGGTGTGGTGGCACATGCCTGTAATCCCAGCTACTCAGGATGCTGAGGCAGAGGCAGGAGAATTGCTTGAACCTGGGAGGCGGAGGTTACAGTGAGCTGAGATTGTGCCACTGGATTCCTGCCTGGGTGAGCTAAATCTTACTCTAAAAGTATCACAGTATAATTGGAGAGATGGTATAACAAAGGACAAAATATAATTAATATTCTATAAATATAAGTTCAAACATATTTTACCCATAATAAACTAAGAGTCAACACCATTTCAATATAATTTTCACTAGAGAATTTCAAACTTGGTTATTTCTGATAAATAAGGGTTTTCAAATGCAGAGATTCCTGAGAATCATCTCACAGAGATTATGATTAATTAGGTTTGTGTTGGGACGCATGTATTTATTATATTTATGTAAAGTTCTTCTGATGACAATCACAGTTTTAGAATCAGAGCTGCCATCCACTGATAAGGTTATTTTAGCTTAAACAAAATTAGTCATGAAAAATTTTAAATAGAAATATTATAGCTTTTAGAGCTTGGCAGTTACTAGTTTCAATATTCAGAAGTGTCTGTGTTTCTATCCAATGGAGAATTCATTTTCAGCTTTGACATGAAATAAGAGGAGAGAGATGCTTTCCAAAAGAATATCTGCCTAAAACTCTGCCCCCAGTGCACTTCTTACTCTCACACATTCGCACAGTTACACCATATACCACTACCACACCATCTCAGTGTGATACAGAATGTAGAATATACAGGCAGGGTAGTAAGGAGACAGAAACAGACACAGAGAGAGATAGATAAATTATTAGATAACTTGTTATTCAGCCCACCGAATTGCAAAAGTAAGCAAAGCCAGCAGTTACACTCATTGATAAAGAGTGTGCTTAAAGTGAAAGATGAACAATCCAGTCAAATATGTGGGAAATACTGGGCCAATCTAATGACGGCCAGATCTGGTTAGACTAGATAGTTGTTGAGGGTACGGTAAATGTCCACAGCATCTGGAAGAAAAGTCCAGATTAGACCAAAACTCCCTTGAGCATATTAAGATGATCTTCATTTCTAGAACTGGAAATACATAATCTGTATTAAATACCCTGAATAGTGGGAACTTGGTTTGAATGCAACTAGCATGAAGAGCAAAAATATTAATTATATAAAGTTGAGGTGAAATAAAAGGCTTAAGGAGGAAAACAATTATTTAGCGTTGCGGAACTTTGAAAAACACAGGTTGTTTACTCCGACAACTGTGTTGATTAGTTATATGAGAAACTAGAACATGAAATGGGTGGAAAAGCTGAAAAGCTAAAAGGTTTTATTGTTATATCCCAGGTACATGTAAGTGAATGTCCATGGAAGAGACATTTTTTGTAATGGAAGGGAAACAGAAATTGATGAGCCATTTGCTAGAAGTGGCCAGTGGAAAAGAGGCTACCTAAGTATGCAAAAATGTAAACATACGTAACTGTATGTATATTGTGTATATAGCTAGAATAAACAACTTTTCAAATGTATAATATATCTTAGCTTTAAAATATTTTTATGTCTATGTACTTGGACTGTTATTGTAAGCAATAAATATATTTGATATTTTAAACATTTTATGCAAAATTAACTTAAAATTACTCTAAAAATCACAATATAATTAGAGGCATGGTATAAAATTAAGTATCTGAGTTTTTTAAAAGAATATTCTAACGTGTGGGTTTTGTTTTTATTGTTGTTTTTTAACATATAAATACTGTAAGTCATAAAGCATCTCTCAGGAAAGGTAAATATCTTAGTCCATTTGTGCTGTTGTAACAGAATATCATGGACTTGGTAGTTGATAACAAATAAAAATTTCTTGGCTCACAGTACTGGAAGCTGGGAAGTCTAATATCAAGATGCCGGTAGGTTTAACACTTGCTTGGTGAGGGCCTGGTCACTGCTCCCAAGATGATGCCTTAAATGCCACATTGCTTCTCACAAGGCAGAAGAGCAGAAGAACCAAGAGAAAAAAAGAGGCCGAACTAGCCCTTCTATAATGGCAGTAATCCCACCTATGAAGGTGAAGCCCTCACAGCCCAATAACCTCTTAAAGTTCCCACCTTTCAACACCATTAACAATGGCAAGTACATTTCAACATGAGTTTTGAAGGGAATGAACTTTCAAACCATAGAAGCAAACGTTGCCTTGCCATATTTTACTTTTTTTTTTTTTTTTTTGAGATGGAGTCTTGCTCTGTCGCCCAGGCTGGAGTGCAGTGGCGCGATCTCAGCTCACTGCAACCTCCACCTCCCGGGTTCACGCCATTCTCCTGCCTCAGCCTCCTGAGTCGCTGGGACTACAGGGGCCCACCACCACACCCGGCTAATTTTTTGTATTTTTAGTAGATACGGGGTTTCACCATGTCACCCAGGATGGTCTCAATCTCCTGACCTCATGATCCACCCACCTTGGCCTCCCAAAGTGCTGGGATTACAAGCATGAGCCACCGCTCCCGGCCCATCTTTTACTTCTTAATTGGCTGTATTTCATGAGATCTCACTGACCCTGAGATAAATGATCTATTAATTCCTCTGTAATATCTAAAAGTAATAATTCACAGGGCTTTGTATTTCCATTTCTTGGTTACCGAGTGGGCATATCATGCTTGTGCTATGAATACATGATATGTGTAGTAAATGCTCCATACATATTTGTTGGAAAAAGTTAGTTAGAAAATAGGGATTTCTTTAAACCACTTTTTTTTTCAGTTTTTGTTCAACATTTTCTCTGAGTTCATCCTCACAGCTACCCTGTCAAGGTGGTCAGCGTGGATATATCCTTATTCTGGCCAGGTGCTCATTCGAAGTAGTTACTACCAAGCAGCCACTGCTTCTTTTCCTTCATATAGGAAGTTCATCCCACAGTCTCTGATGATAAAGCTCCCTTTTTTTGACAATTGACCTCTTTGTAGTACTGGAGGCAGTGGCCAGCAAGTCAACTTGCACTGTCAAATTACTATTGCAGCATATTCTTTGCCAAACAGGGAACTCAGGGTGCTTGTGGTGAGACACAGTATATCTATGAACATACTCTCCTGATCTTCCCTTTGGATATGTCACGACATATTCCACTGGCTTCTTAATATTTAAGAGGTTGCTGCTGCTTATCAAACTAAAGTCAAAAACAGAAATTCCAAATTCTCCTGATTCTCAGGTTACCCGACTTGAGGGTTAGGCATGCAGGAAGCTGCTTTTCTCCAACCTTGACTGGGTGGAAGGTAATTTGGGAAAAGGAAGAGAATAAAGTAAGGTCATTCCCCAAGATTCTCTATAAATGTTCTTCTCTTCTCTTTGTCCTCCACCTCCTGCCCCATCATACTTTATTAATCAGCAACATATTCTGGTTAGGTATATCTTTTAAAACTATCAGTTTTGTTTTCAGTGATTTATATAGTCACTTTTCTATTCAGACAGTCACTAGGAAACAAAAATGGAAGTTTTTCTTTTCTGCCTGAAGTTACTAGGCCGATTAATAATGTGGCATATCATTTTTCATACATCAGTTCATAAGATTTATTTTGAAATATAAAATTAGTTATCCTTCATATAATATAACTAGCATATCCTAATGGTGCTCTCCTAAGCTCCTACAATTATCCTGTTCTCCTACCTAAGTATACTTACCAAATAAACTCAAATTCTTTGATATAGAACACAGGCCAGACCATTTGTTTTACTGATATTCTTTCTTTTTCTTTTCCCTGTAATGGAATTATGATTTAGAAGTCTGAATGAAGAGGTAAAAAAGAGCAGAAAAAATGTTTTACATAGTCTTGTTATTAATAATTTCACAAATTTAATTTATAGTCGATTTAATTGTTCTCTTCTTAATGAATTAAACAACCGCAATCATTACTTTACCATTCTTTGTCAGATATCATTGGATCTTCTAAAGAGAAAAGAATAAAAATACTTTAAGATCTAATTCAGACATACAAGACTTAGATTTTGGCCCTCTACAATAGTTCTCAAACCTTGGCATTTATCAGAAGCACCCCGAAAGTTTGTTATATAACAACTTGCTGGTCTCTACCCCCAAGAGTTTCTGTTTCAGTAGATCTGGAACAGGGCCCAAGACAGAATTTCTAACAAGATGTCCTGAAGCGCTGGTCCAGCATCATGCTTGGAGAACCACTGTAATGAAGTGTATAGAAGAGTTTCACATAGTCTTTGAAACAATATGTAAAACATTGTGTATCTGCATATACATTGTTATGGGGACACAATCCAGTGTTTCATCATATTTCCAAAGAGGTCAGTAAATCCCAAATGGTTTCATCGCTCATTAGTTTATTCTTAGTGTTGTGGTATTAGAACCAAATAAATACAATAAAGGATATTTGCACTTCAATTATATTTCATTTTAATATCTATAAGAACTGTGGCCCTACCAGACTGGAAGCAATTTGAAAAGGAAACAATCATGCTGCTTAACTTCAAGGACAAAATTAGAATTTTTTTAGAGGAATATCATAGAATGTCTTTAACTTACTCTTAGTGGCAGTTGAGAATATATTAAAATGTCTTAAGATGAGCTAAGGAAGGTAAATTCAGTAAAACAGTAAAATAAATTGGCAAATAGTTGGGGGGCAAGGTGAAATACTCCAACTAATTTTAATAATTCAGTCATGTAACTTAAAAACAGGAGATGTTAAGGGATAAGACACTTTGTGAATTATGGGTTTCCTGTTATAGAATCATAAGCAGTATTCAGTTTGGTCTACCACTAGCTTTGGTATGAATCTATTTCATGTCCTGATCAAAGATATATTTGATCAATATGCACATTCAGAACACTAAGGCTGGGACACTACCTTTGTGCAATGTTATTGTTTAATTTACAGATTCATGCCTTACATTCATCCATGAAAACTTTAGGAAAGTTAGAAATAGAGACAATGGCACACCAAAAATTATGTTTGGGGGTTAAGTTAAAGGAAAATAATGCATATATTTGTAATATTGATGATGTTTATGAGAAATTGACATATTAGAGTGTCTAATAGCTTGTGACTCCAACTTAAATTAGTTAAAATCAAACAGTGTATGTCTTTCTCTTACTGTAAATAACGTTATAAAGAACATATGGGTACAAATATCTTTTCAAGATACTGATTCCATTTCCTTTGGATATATGCTCATAAGATTGAATTGTTGGATTATATGGTAGTTCTACTTGTAACTTTTTGAGGCATCTCCATGCTGTTTCCATAATGGCTGTACTAATTTACACTTGCTATCTTTCATTTTTTTTCTGAAAATAGCCATTGTTAACAGCAGTGAGGTTATATCTCATTTAGGTTATGATTTGTATTTCCCTGATGATTAGTGATATTGAGGACCTCTTCATGTATCTGTTAGCCATTTGTATGCCTTCTTTGAGAAAAATGTCTATTCAGGTCCTTTGTTCATTTTTAACTTGGTTTATTTATTTATTTATTGTTATTGATTTGTATGTTTTTTATATATTTTGGATATTAATGTCTTATCAGGTATGTGGTTTGCAAATATTTGCTTTCATTCAATAGGTTGCTTTTAATTTCATTGATTGTTTTCTTTGCTGAGTAGAAGTTTTTTAAGTTTAATGAAGCACCACTCATTTATTTTTGCTTTTGCTGCCAATGTTTTTGGTGTCATAGCTGAAAAAATAATTGCCAAGACTGATATCAATGAGGATTTTCCCTATTTTTTTTTCTAGGAGTTTTACATTTGAGTTATTACATGTAAGTCTTTAATCCACTTTAAGTTGATTTTTGTATATGGTGTAAGATAAGGGTACAATGTCATTATTTTGCATGTGGATATGTGGTTTTCTTGACATCAGTTATTAAGTAGGCTATACTTTCCCTATTGTGTATTCTTGACATCCTTATCAAAGAGGGGTTGACTGTATTTGCCAGGGTGTGTTGTCTGGGCTCTCTATTATGGTCTATATGTATTTTTTTTTTAAACCAGTACCATACTGTCTTGATTACTGTAGCTTTGTAATGTATCTTGAAATCAGAAAGTGTGATTCTTCCAGCTTTGTTCTTCTTTCTCAAGACTGCTTTAGGGCTAATACTGGTGGTTTACATCGGCAATCCCAGCACTTTGGGATGCTGAGGCAGGAGACTTGTTTGAGTCCAGCAGTTTGGGACCAGCCTGGAAACATTGTGAAACCCTGTCTCTACACAAATTACAAAAGAAATAGCCAAGTGTGGTGGCATACACCTGTATTCCCAGCTACTGAGGAGGCTGAGGTGGGAGGATCACCTGAGCCCTGGAGTTTGAGGCTGCAGTGAGCTGTGATCACACCACAGCACTCCAGCCTGAATGACAGAGTGAGACTCTGTCAAACAAACAAAAAGATTGCTGGTATGGTTTGGCTCTGTGTCCCTACACAAATCTCATGTCAAATTGTAATCCCCATGTGTCAGGGTAGAGGCCTGGTAGGAGGTGATTGGATCATGAGGGTGGATTTCCCCCTTGGTGTTCTCGTGACAGTGAGTTCTCATGAGATCTCATAGTTTAAAAGTGTGGCGTTTCCCCCTTGTCTCTCTCTCTCTTTCTTCTGCTTTGTCATGGTAAAATGTGCCTTGCTTCCCCTTCCCCTTCTGCCATGATTGTAAGTTTCCTGAGGTCCCCCCATCCATGTGGAACTGTGAGTCAACTAAATCTTTTCTTTATAAATTACCCAGTCTCAGGTAGTTCTTTATAACAGTGTGATAATAGACTAAACAATCGCTTTGGCTATTTGGGGTCTTTTGTGTTTCCATATAAATTTTAGAATTGTTTTTTCTATTTCTGAGAAAAATGTCATTGTTATTTTGATAGGTATTTATTTTAGTCCATTTTCTGTGGTTATAACAGAATACCTGAGATTGGGTAATTTATACAGAAAAGAGGTTTATTTCTTGCAGTTCTGGAGGCTAGGATGTCCAAGATCAAGTGGCTGCATTTGGTTGGCTTCTGGTGAGGGCCTTGTGCCGTTTCATAACATGACAAAAGACATCACAGGGCAAGAGGAGCTGAGTTTGCTAATGCAGGTGTCTCTTTCTTCTCATATAAAGATACTAATGCTCCACTCTCATTTTGTCATCTAATCCTAGTTACCTACCAAAGGTTCCACTTCTCAAAAAGCATAGTCAAATTTCCCATCCTCTTAGTTCTGTTACAATGGAGACTAAGTTTCAACATGAGTTTTGGAGGGGACAAACTTATTAAAACCATAGCAGGATTGCACTGAATCTGTAAATTACTTTGGGTAGTATGGATGTTTAACATAATTCTTT
This sequence comes from Homo sapiens, assembly GCF_000001405.40. Classification (NCBI taxonomy): domain Eukaryota; kingdom Metazoa; phylum Chordata; class Mammalia; order Primates; family Hominidae; genus Homo; species Homo sapiens. The sequence continues at coordinate 86,248,999 of NC_000005.10, read as the reverse complement.
TGCTTGATGAACACAGGATATTTTTCCTTTTATTTATGTCTTCCTCAATTTATTTTATTAGTACCTTATAGTTTTAATTGTACTAATCTTTCATCTCCTTGGTTAAATTTATTTCTATGTATCTTATTCTTTTTGATGCCATTGTAAATGGAATTGTTTTCTTAATTCCTTTTTTGGATAGTCTTTGGTTGAAGTATATAAACTCAATGGATTTTTGTATGTTAGTTTTGTATTCTGCAACTTTACTGATAAGTTAGTTGTAACAATATTTTGCAGATTCTGCAGAGTCTTCTATGTATAACATCATCTGCATGTCTTCTGCAAACAGAGACAATTTAACTTCTAAAACCTGCCAACAAAGAAAAGCCAAGAACAGATGGCTTCACGGGTGAAATCTACCAAGCATTTAAAGAATTAGTAGCAATTCGCAAACTCTTTCAGGAAATTGAAGAGGAGGGAGAACACTTCCAAACTCATTTTAGGAGGCCTGGATTACTCTCAAACCAAAGCCAGATAAGGACACTACAAGACAAGAAAATCACAGGCCAATATTCCTGATGAACATAGATGCAAAATTTCTCAACAAAATACCAGCAAACCCAATTCAGAAGCACATCAAAACAATCACATACCATGACCAACAGACACTTTTTTTTTCCCTGCGATGCAAGGATATTTCACATATGTTAAATCAATAAATGTAATACAACACAGCAACAGAATTAAAGATAAAAATTTTATGATTATCTCAATAGATTCAAAAAAAATCATTCAACAAAATTCAACATTCTTTGTGATTAGCGCACCAGCATGGCACATGTATACATATGTAACTAACCTGCACAATGTGCACATGTACCCTAAAACTTAAAGTATAATAAAAAAATGATTAAAAATTCTCAATAAATTACTAACATAAGGCATATACCTTAATATAGTAAAGGCCATATACAACAAGTCGATAGCTAACATTATAATCAATGGTGAAAAGCCTAAAACATTCCATCAAAGACCACCAACAAAACAAAGGTGCCCACTTTCACCACTTCTGTTCAACATAGTACTGGAAGTCTTAGCCAGACTAACCAGATAAGAAAAAGTAATAAAAGATATTCATGTGAAAAACAAAAAAAAAAAGGTAAAAGTGGTTTAGAAATGAAAGGTGAGTTAGGTCGGAAAAATTGGCATGTGGAGTAATTCATTTATGTTTTCTAAGCAAAAGTTCTCTACTTGGACATTTAGGAATGACATTACTGACTTTGTTTATTTGCTGTAAACACTGAATGACAGAATACCTAAGGAGCCACAAATAAACATCAACAAGTAAAAAAGAAAACTAGCATAGCATTTTTAACACAGAGTATAAACACGAAGATTCAGAAGTGAGATATTTTCCGGGGTATCAAAGCCATTTGTAAATTTCAAATTATATTTTTAGGCACTGTATCTCCAAAGCAAGTCATCTGATTTCACAGGATTGCCAACACAATCCCAAATTCTTATGTAATTTTATTGTTGAAAATGAAAATCATGTGAATATTTTTAATTGCTGCTTAGATCAAGTAATTTACTGTACATTATCTATTTTTACAAAAAAATCATTAGAAGGTTAGAATGCATAAAAATGTAGTAAGGCAGTGAGAATTTGAGAATTTAGACTACCCTTTGGTCATAAATCTGCGTGCACTTTCTGTTTGTTTTGTAGCGGGTGTTAATGAGGATAATTTTTTTAAATTAAGGATTTGGAAATCTCTTCCTGAATTAGTAAGGAGTAGAAGCACTGACAGCTTGGAATAGAAAAAATAAGATAAAGTGGTAGTCAGAATATGAGATTTTTTACTATGCTATTGAAAACAATGGGCCTGTTGACGGACATTAAATTGTCATTAAAATAGCATTATAGACTTCAGTACCAATTATAAAGCTACTAATGTCTTTTCAGGTAAGTTGTCTGAAAGATAAGTGCTCATCTGGGTTGAACAGGTAAAGGTTGATTGAAGATTTTTATCTAAAGATTTCAAGTTACCTTTTAGATAAAACATTTTCAAAGTAAATCATATGCTTTGAAAAATGTAGAATGGTAAATTATCTGAAGCTTCTGTCTCAAAGATAGGCAGGTGTAACCTTCCCTATTTATCTCTCCAGAAATTTAATATAATCACATAAGTAAATATATATTTTTTTACCTAATCAATGTCATTTTGGTAAAAATTGCTTTTTCACTTAATAGATTATGCCAAAAACTCTCCATATCACAACATATACTTTCTCCTTTTTTAAAAAAAGATACATGTTATTTTATTGTAAGGATAACTATAATTTATGTAACCAGTCCCTTGCTATTAATACATTTCAGTTGTTTTAATTGACCTTTTGCTGTTATAATGTAATAGAATAAAACATTCTCAGACATGCATGTTGAGAATAGGTACAATTTTAATATTTGGATGAATTCCTAAGTATGGAATTGCTTGTTCAAAGAGTATATTTCTAATTTTGATAGAAGTTGCAAGGTACCATTCGAGGAAGTAGAACCTTTTTCTAAACCCACTAAAAGTGTATGAAAATGCCCTATTTCCTCATCCGATAACTAGGTCATTCTCTGGGAACATGGGCCAACTTGAGGTTATGCATCCATGACTCCAAGACAGAGTCAGAATGGTATTTGTTGGAGAAACTAACTTATAAAGCCAGCTCTTCAAATGAATATCAGTTGGAATAATGTTAAATAGAAATTTAGAGATCACTAGAAAAATTTTGAGAGCAAGATATGGGAATTTTCTGTATAGTAACCATTCCTAAAAATTTAGAATGTGCAAAATGTCACTGATTTGTCTTTTTAGCAATCCCTTTATAATACAACTATTTTATGATTTTATTTTACAGAATACGAACTATTTTAGTGACTACACAAACACAGATATAAACTTTTACCCTCTACAATATTTAAATCCCTTAAAGGTGAGAATAATTTTATTTTTTAGAATTTTTTTAACAAAAAAACATAGAAAAAAATAGGGCTTATTGTTTTGTGACAAACTGTGGAAATTTCTTTTGTTGGCCTCACTTGTTTTGTGTATCTCCAATACAAGTAAAGGAGTGTGTACTATTTGGCTTTAAATGGTTCCCTTGCCAACTTCTGTAAAGTGAGGAAAGTTAAGTGTGTGTGTGTTGTGTGTGTGTGTGTGTGCATGTACAATATTTAAGGATTCAGAGTATTTTCAAAACTCTGTATAAGACATGCCTGGGAAACCATATGGATTGAAATTCTACATGTTTATTAGTATAAAATCTAAAAGGTTGCAATAATAGATTACAAAACACTATTATAATGTCTAAATTTTAGGTATATAAAATTGAAATTTAACAGTTTATAAAAATGTATTTTACCATAATACAGAGTGTGCTTTAATTTTTGTTAAATTAGTCCTCATCATTTGAATTACTTTTTAAAAAAGAAACATCTCTCTAAAATGTAATTGAATATATAATTAAGTTCGCATACAAGTATGCTTAAAACTCTAAAACATGTAGTGATAGCCTGCCTTTAAAGGAGTAACTTTGTAGAATGTTCTCAGAAAAGTGATACTAAATCGTGATTCTAAGTCATTGCAACCTAAATAACCCTATTTTTATAAATCATTCTCTATATCTTTTACAACCTGAGAAGGGCTTGTCATTTTATTAATAACCTAATACCTGAGAATAATGTACAAGATTATTTTGGAAATTTCCCTTTTCTAGCTGCCTGATGAGCTGTTAAGATCGTTTTTCTGCAATTGATGTTATATTCAGTACTTGAAGAAGTCATTGAAATGTTAGTTTCTAGTTATATATTACTATGGTAGTGCTTTCATTTTATCTGAACTTTTATTGAACATATTAAATGTCTGTGGTAGTTCTAGTTCAGTTACTGAAAAATGATCAAGTTTCCCAGAATATATTTTATGGTTTTCAAAATCCTACAAATGATAATTCTTGCTTGTCCTTTGATATAGTGGAAACAGTTAAGTGGAATAACTGTAACAAGAAGAGATATTTATAATGAATTCCTTTCAAAAGCCTCATTTTTCTTTCACTGATGTCAAATAATAGAAATAAAATGTAAAGTTAAAGGTTCAAAGTTTTACACTCTAAGAACTTGGATCCATCATACTGTAAAAACTATTGATAATCTCCATAATTACACAATATAAATACTCAGGGATGATAAAGCATATAACTTTAAGATATGACCACATAAAAGTTGATAAATGTACACCCAAGGTCACTACACTGAGGAAGCAAGCCATCAAAATAGAGTATATGATCTCTTAAAATATTAGAAGTAATTATTCTGTGAATAATCCTCAAAGTGTCACATGTTTTGTGATGAGTAGAAGTGGTCCTAATTTAAATTTTGGACTGCTTATAGGTGATTAACCTGTAGAGCCAAATAATTTTTAAAAATTTTCATAATTATTAGAACCATTTATCCTTGTGCATCTAAAATGATATTCCAATTTCCTTTAGGTAATCTAAAAACTTCTATAGTTTCATGTAGGTGATTAATTTTCCTTTCAATATTGAAAGGTTCTTGAATCAGTGATTTCAAAGAATATAATTATAGTGAAAATAACTTCATAATTAAACCAAAATAACAAACAGTCAGCAAAATCTGCAACATATTACTTGGCTGGGCCAACCAAAACTTAAAAGTTAAGTTTAACTTCTTAAAAACTGTTTTTCAGTTAATGGATCCACCAGGGAGATTGGTCAGTTTCTACTGAAATCAAAGTTCACAGTGTTCATGCACACATGTAGTCTGAGTCAAGATTCTTCTACAACAACATGACGGAGAAAAATATTTATAAAACATAAATGTAAGATTATAATACATGGACTAAAGACCTTTTGAATATTAGACTTCGTGTTGTCTTTTTCCATAAGCTGTTGCCTAGGAGGGCATGTTTCAGAATTTTATATTTGTCTTGAGTTAATGACTGGCAAAAACTTCATTCACATAATATTGACTGTGAAAAATTAAATGAGAGTTGTCTTGACCTAGATTATCTTCAAGCTGTGACTTGGGGTTTTGAAAAGCAGTGCTCAAGAATGTTTTTTTTACAATAAATGCCACTTGCTAGCAGAACTCATCTTGCCCCTCGTGCCTGTCAAGATAAAATTTATTATATTTGTTTTTCAAAGGTGACTAATCATCAGAAGTTCTAGTTAGATATACCGTTATTATTATATGATTATCTACTCAGTAATCACACTCACAAGGGGTAGGGCCTAGGAATCTACATTAAAAAAATGGAACTAGCTGATTCTGGTCAAGTTTGGTAAAAACTGCATTAAAAATAACTCCTTTTTCTTTTGCAGGTATCAACAGTTTAAGATTAACTTTTCCCTTTAGATTTGTTTAAATGCTGGATTTCATAAACTTACATCAAATATTGATTTTTTATAATAGACGTTAGCAAATTTGAATGAAAGCAAATACATTATTCTCGTATCTGTTAGGGTTTTGTATTGTGCCTTGCTTCACATTTGGCTTTTTTCCTATTATTCAGGAAGCTACCCATTATACTAATGTACCATCTTTAACTAAGATATACACCAATATAGCTTAATTTCAATATTTTCCATAGTCTTACTTGCCACTCTCTTCTGTTTCATATCTATCTATAGCTATATCATCTATATCTATGTATCTCTATCTGTACCCAATGAGTTACTCCTTGCCTCTTCTTTTGGATATCTCATCCCTATTCTTCAAGCTTCAGTTCTTTTCACTTTTCTTCTCTCTATTCCTCATCAGCATTCATTTACAGATATTTATTGAACACTTTCTGTGTGTTAAATAACCATTAGATTATGAAACACAAAGATGAGTAAGATGCCACAATTTCTGACAAAAATGAGTTTACAGTTTAGATGATCTTAATGGCTTTATCTCTCTGACCATGTTTCTGTCCCTATCTGTTGTAAAGTTTCCACACCACTACTTTCCAATATTTTCGTTTCAAAATAAAGGGGATGAATGACCAAAGATGGCTTGGAATTAGAAAACGGACTTTGGAGTTGTTCTATACCTGACTCTGTGCACCCCAAGATCTGAAGCAGTCTGAATGTTTTTTTCTTAATATTTTCCATTTTGTGGAAATTTTCTGGGTGAAATTATTATAAATGCAGCTACAGTTTCAGAGCATACCACACTGATTGAGGCTTCACTAGAAGACTGACTTATGAGGTACAGCTCAGTCATTTTTTCAGTCTTAATAATTTTATTATACTTATTTATTGTTTTGGCCCTTTCCTGCCATACTTTTTTTTTCTTTTTCTATTGTACTTCTCTTTAGTACATTTCATGTTCTCTTACCATTCTTTATTGTGTCTTATTTTATCGTGTCTTATTTGTAGATGAACCAATAATTATAAACATATTAAGAATTGTAGTTTACAAAACTCACTAAAATGATGAATAAGAACATCAAGATGAAAGTACTTGGCTTTGATGCAAAGGCATTTTATCATTTATTCTGAGATTGCCAAATTATTCTAAATGCACCTACACTTTCAGAGCTGTATACCACACTGATTGAGGCTCCACTAGAAGACTGACTTATAAGGTAGAGCTCACTGATTTTTTCAGTCTTAAACAGAACTTGCTCCACAGCAAATTTGCGAACATATAACCTCGGGGCCCAATGGGAGAATGTCCTTGGGGAATTAATGTCTACAGAGGGCCGGGCACGGGGGCTCACAACTGTAATCCCAACACTTTGGGAGGCCCAGGCGGGTGGATCACCTGAAGTCCGGAGTTTGAGATTAGCCTGGCCAACACAGTGAAACCCTGTCTCTACTAAAAACACAAAATTTAGCCCAACATGGTGGCAGGCGCCTGTAATCCCAGCTACTCGGGAGGCTTAGGCAGGAGAATCGCTTGAACCCAAGGAGGCGGAGGTTGCAGTGAGCAGAGAACACGCTACTGCACTCCAGCCTGGAAAAAGAGCAAAACCCTGTCCCCCCGCCAAAAAAAAAATGTCTACAAAGAAAAAAAGGGAAATGCCAATGTACAAATCATTTTAGGAATACTTCTACATTGCTCAGCCACTGCCACTTTCTCTGTTCTTCATGACAAGTCATTGTAAAATTCAGCAAATGTTCTTTTTCACATGGTTCAGCCAAGCAAAGAAGTCTCAATTTTATTGTTAATTAGAATAAAAGTGTTAAAGAAATAATCAATTTAAGGCAAATGAACTCTTTGAGAGTATAATGGTACCATCTGGTAAATTAGCTCTTCCCCAACTTCAAATACTATTCTAAAAGGTGTATTTCTTTCAAATATTTTGTTTCCAAGTAATATTTATTCACCTCTCCAATATCAGATAATGAACAAGGTAATTTTAGATACTACTATGTGCTGGGATTACTGGGACCCAAATTAATCTATTTTCTTTCATAACTTTATTTTTCCAAGCATAGTCTTATAGCACATGCTGAGGAAATGGCCACAAATCTTGGCTGCTCAATTCACCAACAAATTGAGTTTTGCTGACTAAATATCCTCAAAAGATGTATGAATTAGCAGTTGTGTTTATGCTGATTTCCAGGCCATAATGGCAATAGCGAGTTTATGTTCCAATAATTAATTTTCCTCAGAACACATAACAGTAATAAAATATTACAAAAAAAGAAACCAAAAAACACTGGCTGGGCTTATATACAACAAAAATATTTGTTAATTATGGACAGAACAAAAATCAAAAGCAGAAAATGCAGCTGAGCTCTGCCTGTGGGAGCAGACAGTGATGACTGTGAGCTTATCTTTTGCCAGGTAAGTGGGGTGGGCAAGGGGAAATGTGGTTGGTATAAGAAAATATTGAGCCAGACTATGGTGCCATCTCACATTAAAAAAAAAAGAAAAGAAATAAAAATCAAACAAACACCACTACTGCCAATCTTTGCTGATTTCCTAGTTACCAAAATCCAGAGAAAGAGAAAAGAACAAACAATGGTAACAAATACTGAGCCTCACAAAATTAGCATTAAAATCTACCTTTCAAAATGTATCAATTAATCTTTTCCTAAGAAACATAAAACATAAATCTTCTCTTAAGAAACATATGCCAAAACCAATAATTAAAACATGAATTCTCTTCAGATGACAGTAAATTTATTGAATTATATGACAAACATTCTCAAATGACAAATGAGATATAACTTCTAATACAAAATAAAAAAGATTTTGAAACTGAACAGACAAATTTAAAAATTAAAAGAAGTGATTTTTTTCTCAGATGAAAGAATTAGAATTTTCTAAGAAGATAAAATGGACAAACTGATTTTCCTTGGACTCAAAGGGGAAATTTAGTAAATTGGAAGCTAACACTGAGGAACTCATAAAGAATCTCCCATTGTAAGCCAAAAAATATATTTTTTTAATTAAGGAGAAATTAAGAGGATAGATTAAGAAGTTCTACCACATATCTAAAAGCACTTTCAGAATGAGATAAGGAAGTGGATTGGGAAAATACAATATTGAATTATATAATTGATAAGAATTTTATGTAATTAAGAATGTTTATCAACCTCAGACTGAAAGCGTACTTGTAATTTTGATCAGGATACATTTTAAACATAGAAACATTAGAGTGAAATTGGTGGATACCCTGCAAAATAAATAGCCAACCTTTCAGAGAGAAAATAATTAACAATTACTAGAGAAGCAGCATGCCTGTAATGGACACCAATGGATATTGCAAACAATTGATAATAACAGCCAATACAGGGTTTTATGCTTAGCCAATCTTTCATTCAGGAGAAATACAGACTGTTTACAATATGCAAATATAAAGACCTTAACACACAGAGCACCCCTTTGAACTGTAACACCACTACCGCCACGGTTAGAAAATAGTCAAAATAGGCCGGGCACAGGGGCTCACGCCTGTAATCCCAGCACTTTGGCAGGCCGAGGCGGGGGGATCACAAGACCCGGAGATTGAGACCTTCCTGACTAACACAGTGAAACCCCGTCTCTACTAAAAAAAAAAAAAAAAAAAAAAAAAAAACACAAAAAATTAGCCGGGCATGGTGGCCGGCGCTTGTAGTCCCAGCTACTGTGGAGGCTGAGGCAGGAGAATGGCTTGAACCCGGGAGGCAGAGCTTGCAGTGGGGCGAGATCGCGCCACTGCACTCCAGCCTGGGTGACAGAGCAAGACGCCATCTCAAGAAAAAAAAAAGAAAAGAAAATAGTCAAAATAAGCTATCTCTTATACAGATGAATATAGAAATAATAATTATCAGTTTATACAGAAATGTTTAGATAAATGTTAATAGATAATATTAAATTTAATAGTTTTAAGATATTAGTCAATTTAAGATTAAGTAATAGAAAGACTATGTATGGCTCCAACCTATCCGATGAAATATAGAGAATATAGAAAGTCAAATATAACAGAGGGCAGAGGATAGGGGCAAAAACTTACAAACAATAAAAAAACGATTAAAAAAATTCAAAGTCAGATAATAGGAATAAAACTTAAAAACTATAAAAATCATGGATGAAAACCTAAGAAATACTCTTCTGTACATTGGCATGGCAAAGAACTTATGGCTAAGTCCCCAAAAGCAATTGCAACAAAAACAAAAATTAACAAGTGACACCTAATTAAACTAAAGAACTGAATAGCAAAAGAAACTATCACCAGAGTGGACAGACAACCTACAGATGGGAGAAAATATTCACAAGCTATGCATTTCACAAAGGTCTAATATCTAGAATCTATAAGGAACTTAAAACAATTCAACAAACAAGGCACGAATAGCCCCATTGAAAACGTGCAAAAGACATGAACAGACACTTCTCAAAATAAGTGGCCAACAAACACTTGAAAAAATGCTCAACATCACTAATCTTCAGAGAAATGTAAATCAAAACCACAATGAGATACTATCTCATACCAGTCTGAATGGCTATTAAAAAGTCAAAAACAACAGATGGTGGCGAGGCGGCAGAGAAAAGAGAATGCTTCTACTCTATTGGTGGGAATGTATGTTAGTTCAGCCACTGTGGAAAGCAGTTTGAAGATTTTTAAAAGAACTTAAAACAGAATTACCATTCAACTCAGCGATCCAATTACTTGGATGTTCAGCTTGCTTTTGTGAATTATTATACTGCCTTTCCTTCGCCAGTATTTAATTAATACTTAACTAGGTGCCATGCATTATCCTATGCACTGCAACTAACAACTACACTAACCTAGCAGTTACCTCAACAACCCTGAGATAGTTTCTCTTTTATTCTTTTTTTTTTCCTTTTACCAAGGGTATATTTTACTTTTCTTATACACCTTGTACATAAACTGTTTTTTTTTTTTTTTCAGTAGTTTTACATTCAGGAGGCCTAATTACTTTTAAATTATACAACATTTTTTGCATAAATTCTTTTTTATAACATTTTTCTCTTTCATGACTTTCGCAGACAATTCTTCGACATGCCTCAACTTTCTGACATTACAAATATTTCTTTTTTTTCGCTTTTTTTATTATACTTTAAGTTCAAGGTACATGTGCACAACATGCAGGTTTGTTATATATGTATACATGTGCCATGTTGGTGTGTTGCATCCATTAACTCATCATTTACATTAGGCATATCTCCTAATGCTATCCCTCCCCCCTTCCCCCACCCCACGACAGGCCCCAGTGTGTGATGTTCCCCTTCCTGTGTCCAAGTGTTCTCATTGTTCAATTCCCGCCTATGAGTGAGAACACGCGGTGTTTGGTTTTTTTCCTTGTGATAGTTTGCTGAGCATGATGGTTTCCAGCTTCATCCATGTCCCTACAGAGGACATGAACTCATATTTTTTATGGCTGCATAGTATTCCATGGTGTATATGTGCTACATTTTCTTAATCCAGTCTATCATTGATGGAAATTTGGGTTGGTTCCATGTCTTTGCTATTGTGAATAGTGCCACAATAAACATATGTATGCATGTGTCTTTATAGCTTATAATTCAGATGAAGAAAATGAGAAATAGAATATTTAAGTAATTTGCCCAGTCATCTATCTAATAAATGATTGAGTTTGGTTATGAACTCAAGAATTGTTACCAAATAATAACCAAAAGAACTTTAGCAATGTTAACACCAGAGAAGCCAGAATTTAACATAAAATGGAATAGAAATAAAATGGAATAGGAATAAAATGAAATAATAGTTTAAATTAAATAAATGCTCCTGCAGGAAGATATAATCATTATCATAAATTTGTACTATCCATAAAATAATATTGCCTTGAAGCATATAAAAACATTGACATTAAACCAATTTATTAGACATTCAGAAATTTGAACAAAATTAACAATTTTTACTGTGTGTGTACATATAAAATATACATCATTTTGAGTACTGTAGGGAGCACTTATAAAAATTGACCATGTATTATATTTAATATATAAATGGTTTAAATAGATTTCAAATAGTTGACATCATATATACCACAATTTTTAACCATAGTTATTTCTATTCAATTTCAAATAAATTAGAAATTAACCATACTAAAAAATTAAAAATTAAAATATGTCTATAAATTTAAAAATACACTACTAAATTATTGAAAAATAAATGTGGAAATACTAGTAGATATTACAAAGTTAATATTCCACTAAAGAAATTAGGAAAATAACAAAATAAATCTTGTTCTAGAAGAAAAAATAATAAAGAGCAGAAAATTTTGAAATAAAACATAAGTTGGTTTTCTTAATTTTTATAAAATAGATAAGCATTTACCAAGATTCACAAGAGAATGAAATAAATAACACACTAATTTCAATATTAAGAATAAAAGAATGTTGAATATAACTGACGGAAGATGACATAATTTTTAAAAGTCCATAACCAACTTTAAGTTACTAAATTTGAAAATACAGAAAAAATGATTACTTTTTCTAGAAATATATAAATTGTCAAATCTGACTCAAGATGAAATAGAAAATGTGACTAAGTCACAAATTATTAATTAAATTAAATTGGAACTCAAAATTTGTTTAACAAATTGATTTTAAAAGTACTCGTCAAACTTTCAAGGATCAGATAATCACTTTTTATAGACACCACTTCAACAAGTAGAAAAAAGATGGAGATCTACAGAACTCATTTTATGCTGCTAATGCAACTTTGATCTCTAAATGGGGCAGACTACTCTAATAAATGGTGTTTGGCAATTATTCCTTCATACAGAACAATAGAAAATTAGGTTTCTACCTCAGAACATGCAGACTGATTTATTTCAGATGGATTAAAAACTGGAAAGTCAATAAAGTATAACTTTACAACTTTCAAAATATAATATCGGATATAAGTTTTTGAAAAGAGAATAACAAAATACTTTTTCAAAAGATGCTCTCTTATGCATATATCTAAAAGAAAAGACTAGTAAATTTGACTAAATTAATATCTTAAAATTCTTCATAGCAAATGAAACTATAAGATGAAAGGATAATAAAAATATCATTTATTTGTGACACTCAACAATAAAGCAATAGTGTCTAGAATATGTTGAAAGTTCTAAAAAGAAAAAAAGAAAAAGACATGTAGCACAAGAAAATAATGGGGAAAGGGTAGAAATAAGCAACTCTCAGAAAAGAAAGCAGTCTCATTCGATAGGCATCATATTGATTAAAATTAAAATATCTATATAAATAGTCTAGAAAATATAAATAATAAGAAACACTAACAAATCAGGAGAGCAGTTTGGTAATATTTAAGATATTCACATTTTAGGGATCAGAAATTCTTATCCTGACATTAACTTTTAGATATCTATCTAAAAGATACTCTTGCATATGTACAAAGGCAGATATGTATAATAACCTACTAGCTGTGGGTATTTTAATAGCAATAAGTGAGAACAATGAGTTGTCCTTCTTACAATGGAATTACGTGTCGTAAATGAAATAATGATCATCATGGTCATTACTAAAGAATGTAATATCCTATCTCAAAATGTGGAATGGTATATATGACATAGCAGCCTGGTAGACTATATTATTGTCCGCACTTATTCTTTTCCTTGAATTAGAATTGTACAGCCCCATACACTGACTGTAGTTTGCCATGTAACGTGGTTTAGCCAGCGAAATGTGAGCTTACACCATACCCAAGCAAATATCTAAATCTAATTCTTCAACTTTCTTGCTCTTCTCTCCTTGCCTTCAGAGTGGCATATCCCTGATTAGGACTGTCCCTTCTGCCTGAGTTCTGGACTGAAAAGCCCCGAGGAGCAGAGCTCTAGCTGACCTGTAGCTGGCTTTGTCTAAAGTAACCAATAAACCTTTTGTTTTGTAAGCCAATGAGACTTGAAATTTTCCTTCTCTTTACCCTCCTCCTCCTTCCCCCATCCTTTTCCTCATCCTCTTCTCTCCCTGCGTCTTCCTTCTCTTCCTCCTTTTGTTAATGCAACCTCATACTGCAAAATAGACCATTTATATAATTGAAAATATTTGGAAAATAATATAATATGATATTTTAGATATATAAATATGTTCTTTAAAATTAAGAAATGATGAATATTTTGGAATGAAGACATTGTTTCAGATGGGAAGAAATGCCCAGCAGGTCACAAAATTTCAGCTGTATAATGTAAACATAAATAACATAAATTTGTAAATACTTCATAAAATAGTAAAATTGAATGTTCTTTATTCTCCATTCTTACCTTGTATGCCAAAATATTTTGCTATATGTAACAGACGTATATTTTACTATATATATATATATATATATATATATATATATGTTTAATAGAGAGAACTACATACCTCTCATAGAAATTTCAGGGACAGACAATAAAGAAGTATTTGGTAACACCCCTCTAATCACACTTGATGCAATCTATTCAATAAACTGAGCATTGGCTCTAGAATTAGAACTGGATTCATATCCAGGTGACACCATTTATTTGCCTGACTTCTATGAGCCTTAGTTTCTTCATCTATGCATTAGGGACAGAGATTTGCCTTAGAGTTGTTCTAAGGTTTAAATGAAATAATTCCTCTTCAATGCCTGAACATATAATAATTTTAACTGCTGAAGATGTGTTCATTTCACTTCTATTTCGTAAATATTATGATCTAATATTAAGTCAGTTCTACTTTGGGAACACAAGCAACTTAGATGATAATTCAGCTTTATCATTAAGTCAAGCAGCTATGGAGAAGATCTATGAGAATTATTTCAATTTTATAATGAAAGTGTAACTCATTGTTTAAAAAAAATTATGATACTAATATAATCTCTGATTTTTTAACAGGGGTTGGTGAATTTTTTCTATAAAGGGACACATAGTAAATATATTCAGCTATACAAGCCATCTGGCCTCTGTTGCAACAACTCAACTTTGCTATTGCAGTGCAAAAGGAGCCATAGACAAAACTAAATGAATGGGCATGGCTGTGTTCCAATAAAACTTTTATCATGGACTCTGAAATTTGAATTTCATATAATTTTCATTTTTTATGAAACATTAATTTGTTTTCCTCTTCAACTATTTACAAATGTAGAAAACACTCTTAGCCTTCATATCATACAAAAACAGATGCTGAGCTGCATTTAACACGCAGATCTTAGTTTGCTGATTTATTTTCTTTGCCTGGACATCAAGGCTTTACATTTTTTTGAAAAGCACTGATATTAATATATATGTAATATATAATATACATAGCCTATAATTTTAATGACTTGGTTCTTGAGAAGACACACACAAACACACACACACACACACACATATATATGTATATATATATGTGTGTGTATATATATATATATATATATACACACACACACAGATGGTGTCATGGAGCTCCTAGTTATATCATTTTAATTTACATTATTTAATTTACCTTATTTCTATTGCATATTACTGGACACTGCCCTTTGCATTACTTTATTTTAGATAATTTTAAGATGGAAACTTACCTCATAAAGGTCATATTTCAGATGTCTTGCTTTTAAAAGTCAAAGTCTATTTCAAACCTAATTGAATAATTTAATTGTTTTTGGATTGTCTGTTTTTACCCTGCTGAGCTTTAATGTTTTTCTTCCTGAACCGCTGAGTTTTATATCCTAATAATTATCTTTTTTGTTTCATAACCCAAAATAGTTCTGATATAGATAGTACTGGAGTAACAAACTTTAAAAAAAATCTTATAATATTCTGCCCAGTAAGTGATGATCTTTCTTACCTAATGATTTCTGAGTCTTTATTTTTTTTACTTGCAAGTATCTGCTACACTTTGATTCATAAGTTAGCACTGTAAAGAGATTATTTCATCATACTTTTATCTTTAGTAGCAATTATGTTTATTTTCTAATGTGAGATTTTTATATATAAAATATAACATTATAACATAAAATGTAACTGAAGAAATTTCCTTTGAAAATTTCCTTTCATATAAATTATTAATATTTCTTTTGCTCTAGTTTTTGATCATTATATATATTGGTTGCATCTTGCACAGAAATTGATGTTTCTCTAAAAGCATTTTATTTAATATTTTTAACTTTATAGTCCCATTACTCAGGCTGTCATTTTCCTTACATAGGAATTCTGCTTCTCTATAGTCAGTAAAAGTACATTTTTTCCTCATTAATTTTATTTTGCATTTAGATAGCAGATTTAACATTTTTAACATTGGTATGTGCAATGATTCATTAGCAAACTATAAACCTCAAATGAAACCATCTTTAAATCTAAGAGATATTAAGCAAATAGTAAAGATTCATTAGTTTTGCATTTTAAGCACTTGTGTTTACTAATAATACTTAATAAACAAAGTGTTCTGATAATTTTATGGAAGTTAGAGTATAGTGAAATACAAAGTGTAATTATATTGACTTCATTTTTACATCAACCATCCCTCTCCTTCCTTCTCTTTTCTAAATGTTTCAGTTTCCAAAAGAAAACCTGTAAGAAGGCACAATAACTCAGTATGGGTTACATCCAAGATAATATGATTTTCCAATATTTCCAGTATGACTAGATAAATGGCTGACAAAGTGTGGTCCATGGACATCTAGGAGTCCTGGAAACCTTTTCAAGGGATCTGTTAGGTCAAAATTATTTTCATAATAACACTAAAGTGTTTGCCTTCTTTTCTTTGTTGGCATTTGCAGATACTGAAAAAGCAGTGATGGATAAAACTGCTGTCCTTTTAGCATGGATCACTGCAGTGGCAGCAAGCTGTATTAGTTTTTGTATTGTTCACTGTCACACACACAAAACCTAAAACAAAATGCATGTTTTAAGTGTTTTAAGAATAGCCTTGGGGAAGCAATAAAATACTTATTTTATTACACCTTGATCCTTAATTCAAAGCCATTTTATTATTCTTTGTGTCAAAATGAGAAGTATACATAAAATTATGTAAATTTTACTTAAGAGTTGCAGACTGTGCTCAAGACAATGTGCACTAGCTGCCAAGAGCTGATTGTCCAGACCTCTTGTTTCTTTATTTTCACAGACACCACCTTGGTAACTTGATATCAGCCATGGTGAGAGAACTTACACCACAGTAATTAGTAAACACTGTAAATCATAGCCGTTATTGGGAAACCTCGTCTCTAATAAAAATACAAAATTAGCCGGGCGTGATGGTGCATGCCTGTAATCCCAGCTACTCGGGAAGGCTGAGGCAGTAGACTCGCTTGAACCCGGGAGGCCGAGGTTGCGGTGAGCCGAGATTGCGCCACTGCCCTCCAGCCTGGGCAACAAGAGCGAAACTCGGTCAAAAAAGAAGCCATTATTATGGCTTTGATGAAAAACACTGAGAGCACCAACTGTTAGCAAGGATAGAGCAACTGAAACACACTTTCCTGGGCAAATATGTAAAATAGTACAACCACTTTGAAAAGCTGTTTGGCAATTTGTTATAAAGGTAAATATATATTTAGACTATAACTCAGCAATTCCATTTATACGTTTTTCCCCAAGAGGAATAAATACAAACTTTCATAGAAAGCCTTGTTCAATAGTTTATACCAGCTTTGTTCATAATATTTAAAAACTTGAAGCACTGTTTTTGTACATCAGTAAGAAAGCAAACTTTGGTATATTCGTATACACATGAATACTGCTCATTAATAAAACAAAATGCACTATACCTAGCCCTCAAAAAACGAAGTTTCAAAAGTACTATGGTGAGTATATAGTATGATTATACTTATATGAAGTTCAAAAATAGGCAAAACTAATATACAAAGAGCAGTGCGTGGCTGTAGGTGAGAGGGCAGTCAACTTCAATCAGTGTCCTACTTTTGCCTGTTTCATTTGTTCACTAATAAAATTATGAAAGCCATGATAATAATATGCCATCACAACATTGTGAGCAGAGGTGTAACACAGAGCTCACAGTTAAGGCCAGAATAGAAAAGAGTCTTCCCTAAAGGCAGAAATTATATTTTATCCCTCAACCTACAAAAAAATTTCAGTGCCCAAACATTCTGGATAATCAAGTTGTTGTTGTACATTAAAAATGAAATGTATAACTCCAAAAAAGACAGAAGCAAATGATAACTGATTTTATTCATTTGGCACAAACAAGAATAAAGTGTTTATAATTTAAAGTGAGACAAAAAAATACACATAGGCAATTACACCATCTTTTATTTCAGCATCATTAGCAGTAACTGCTTTATTGAGCAATTCACCTGATTAGAATGGTAAAAGCACAACTCTAAAGCTGATTAGAATGGTAAAAGCACAACTCTAAAGTTGATTGACTGGCAGTAGAATGTTTTGTACCTGCTTGATACTTTTAACAGATATTTATGTATAAAAAGCAACCCTAGAGATATCACCTTGAAAATATTGTAATAGGAACATCAAAGATTTGATGTTCTCTTTTATATGCTAAAGTTTAACATATAGTTTATCTTACAACTGCATTATATACCTACCTAAACATGACAGAGATTGTTACCACCATTGAATTCTTTTTTGTAAGGTTATTTAGACCTGAATTTAGATGTTAACTTTTTTTTTCTTTTTGCAATTCCTTTGCTTCATGCTTTAATGAAAACCATGCATCATTGCATTAAGTGAAGTAAAGCACTGGATAAAATAGAACATTGCTATTACCCTCTAACATTAATGTGTAGGGAGGCAGAAACAAGTTTAATAATTCAGAGATAAAATACTCACAGTGTAATTACCTAAGCCTGCTTTACCCTGGCATATTAACATAGGGTAATAAACTTGAGTCTATTTTCAAAAAGGAATGAAATCATCATCAATAATCAATTGTATTCATTTTATGGCTTATAAAGTGATTGGCCTTTTAATATGGGTCATCATCTGATGTTTGACTTTTGTAAAATGGTACAGTGTTTCCTTTTATTGCTACATAAAACAGATTTAGATGTTCTGCCCAATACTGCATTAACTTTAGAATAAGCAAATTTGAATTAAGCAGTTAGTATTTAAAAAAAGTATTTTGTGTTAAATCTAACTCATGCTAAACATTATTACTAGTTCGTATTATACATCTTTACAAGTTTCCAGGTTATGTGAGGGTCAGTAATAAAACTATTTACAAGGTTGCATACATAGGTGATTTGCTAGAATCTAATTTTAATTGTTTAACATATCCATGTCTTATATAAGTATACAAAGTATTTTGTGACAAAATTAGCGCT
Source organism: Homo sapiens (assembly GCF_000001405.40). Classification (NCBI taxonomy): domain Eukaryota; kingdom Metazoa; phylum Chordata; class Mammalia; order Primates; family Hominidae; genus Homo; species Homo sapiens. The sequence continues at coordinate 86,230,313 of NC_000005.10, read as the reverse complement.
TGCTGTTAAAAAATATGAGAAATGTTTTCTCTTTCTTCTCCCTGAATTCATTTGACTTTAAATCTCCTTTGTTCATATAGTTTTGTTTCTCTGTAAAAAATTTAAAATATTTTTGAAATGCATAAGAATTCAAATAAGATAAAAATATTATCCACTATCAGTAAGTTTTAATTTTAATAATGACAGCTGAATGTGAATTCTATATGAATATTGGAAGCCTACAAATAAAAATATTTTTGGAATCCAAAATCTATTTTCTCTATCTCAGAAACATTTTGAAATATTGAATATCTTTAAAAACCTTTTAGGAAATTATGGGTTTTAGCCCTAAATTAAATTAGGTAGTGGACCTAAACAAACTTATAATGTAAATTTGTATTCATAAGCAAATCTTAAGGACCAAAATTTATTTGGGTCCTGCGACATAAGCAGCTGGAAACATGGCCCTGAATCTAAAGAGAACTGAAAATCCGTGTTTTCAGTCAAGAGCATAAAGATGCAGCTGATTAACTGGTATATTCTTCTTAGGGATTAAAAAAACTTCATCTAAACATTCTCATTTGCATTTATAAACCCATTTATGATTAGGATGAGATTTTAACATTATTATTTATTATTTACAGGGATGTCATTCAGCAATTAATTGCATATCTGGGTAGCTATTTCAACAGTTTAAGTATCCAACAACTTGTTATTCTCTTCCCATTCATAGGGCCTGCCAAACTGTTTAAGGAACAATTTGACACAGGTGCGGTTTAATATAAAAGATGTTTTCTCAATGGAAATAATAATGGACCTTAACAAAACATTTAATAATGTAGAAAACTTACTCTAGGTATTTTCTTTTAGGAAGATGATGAGATTTAATATAAAGTAACGGAGGTTTCCCATGGCTAGAAATTAATTTACAAGCCTATTCCAGGAATCTTATAAGAACAAGCATATTTGAGGCCTAAGAAACCATAGTAAAACAAAATCCATCACAGAACTGTTGCTGACCTCCATGCGCATTAGCTTTGCTCACCCATGAGGGTAACTGACCGTTACAAAGGCTGTTAGATTTAACTGTAAGGTAGATTGAAAAATAGGTTTTAGCTGTTTTATATTATTATGGCCCAAAGGTGAAAGCAAGTTTCCAAACTGCTTGTCGTTTTGAAGTATGGATGCCACAGGGAAGAAGGTATATGAAAAAAAAAGAAAACAAATTTCATTAGGTCAGAAATTCCACTGATAAATCAAAGAAGGGACAAAAGTCATGTTGTAAAATTATGGAAGACTCATGAAAAGCAAACCCCTTCCAATTTCATTCTAGAAAGACTAAAGTATATTTCTTGTGGAACTTGGCAGTGATTTGAAAAAAAAATCCCAAATGGCTAAGGTGTTAGATAATTTCAGTGATGTTTAAATAACATCTATGCTTAGAAACTGCTATCAAAGATGAAAATTAATAAGGCAAATGACCTTTTCTTGTTCCTATTTTTTAAAAAAACTTTTTACAATCCCGTTGAACAGAAACCTTTGTGGGTGGTCCTGTCATGAATTAGAATACCAGAGGTGATTAGGGGGAATAAACCTTTCTAAATCAACAAGTTACATCAAAGTTAATTAAAAACATGGGAATAGAATGGCCTGTCAAAAACTGCAGTAGATTTTAATGAAGTGATGATAGATTTGTTATTAGTACAATTCGCTCAATTAATTTAAAGAAGGAGACTGAGACGAAATATAATGCCTTATTTCAAACTTTATCAGAATACATTATTTAACAATATATGGCTTCAGAAATAACTTTTCTGTTCATAAATTTAGTTTACCTTTTGAATTTAAAAAAGAATAACTGATTCAAACTTTATCACTATTTGTTTTTGGTCATTAGGGTTGTTGATTTTAACAATTGTATATTCTTGAAATTATCAAATCAAAGCATCTAAGGATTTACTCCAAGGGATTTTGAAGTCTGGTCCTAATCAGTTGAAGTAGCTGTGGTTTTCTTTTCTTTTTAACTATTATTATTTTTGCCTTTAGTTTTATAACAAAGTCTTGGCAGTTTATTCTCATGTAAGAACACAGTATCTCCTAAACCATATGTAAACCTAAAGAGTAATTCAATATAATCTTCCTTTAAGTACTTGTAATAATGTTTATCTAAGAATTTCATATTTGCTTTATGCTTAAAATGCTTTTATATTTATTACAATATACGAAAGCTATCAGAGAAGCATGCATTTTTCTACATAAATTTTATTTAATACAATAACCTTTCAACATTCCATATTTTTGGAATTTATCACTCTAAGGTAGTTACCTGGGACATGTTGATATAAAACTACAGTTAATGCTTGAACAATGCAAGGGTTAGGGAAGCTGACTCCTTGTGCAGTCAAAAATCTGTATAACATTTGACTCCCCCAAAACTTAACTACTAATAGCCTACTATTGACCAGAAGCCTCTCTGATAACATAAACAGCCTATTAACAAATATTCCTGGTGTTACATGTATTATATACTACATTCTTACAATAAAGTAAGCTAGAGAAAAGAAAATGTTATTAGGAAAATCATAAGAAAGAGAAAATATATTTACTATTCATTAAGTAAAAGTGGGTCATTGTAAGGGTCTTCATTCTTGTCCTCTTCATATTCAGGAGGCCAAGAAGAAGGAGGAAGAGGAGGCGTTAGTCTTGTGCAGGGGTGAGAGAGGCAGAAGAGGTGGAGGAGGTGAAAGGGGAACAGGAAAGGCAGGCATACTTGATGTAACTTAGAAAAAAAAATCCACAGGTAAATGGACCTGCATAGTTCAAACCCATGTTGCTCAAATGTCAACTGTAATAGGTATCTTTTAAAAATATTTTTCCTACATTCTGTTGAAATATAACTAGTTTAATTTCTACATATTGGCACATTTCATTGTAATAAGTCTCCATATAAAATATTTATAAATTTGAAATAGCTAAGTTATATTATGTTCACATTGTATGCAGATGTAATATAGAGGTTAAGCCTAGTTATGTAACGTTGCATAAATGGTGTATATCTTCAACACTTAGAAATTGTAATATTCTTTTAAAAACTTTAGATCTTTAAGATTACTTCAAAAAATAACACTTTAGGTTTTTAAGATTATTTTTATTCCTGCTACCTTTATTCTTTTATTGGAGGAAGCTCAGGTTCTAGCTATGCATTTGATGGGCTGGTGACAGCTCCACTGTACAATCTGCTGCTCTCCTTGACGTCTTTGATAAACTATTTGCAATACTAATATGTCCAAAAAGGACCTCCCATTAACCACACTACCCACCAGCTTCTCCTGAAATTTCTCTGTTTCAATTAAGGACAATTCCATTCTCAGAGTTGCTTGGGGGAAAAACGTTGGGGTGATCTTTGACACCAGTCCATTAGTAGATTATATTAGTTTTTATCTTCAAAAGAAACTCAGAATTTGACTATTTTTTCTCCACTCCACTTCTAACACCCTGGTTCATCTTCTCTAACCTGAGTAATTACAATAGCCTCATTACTGTTTTTCCTGATTATGCTCTCCCATCCTCTGCTTTCCCTCCCCAAAACAGTCATTGCCATTCTCAGCACAGAATCCATAGTGGTTCTATCAAAACACCCATGTAGCAATTATTATTATTATTTTTTTTGACACAGAGTCTTGCACTGTCGCCCAGGCTGGAGTGCAGTGGCGCGATCTCGGCTCACTGCAAGCTCCGCCTCCCAGGTTCACGCCATTCTCCTGTCTCAGCCTCCCGAGTAGCTGGGACTACAGGAGCCCGCCACCACGCCCGGCTGATTTTTTGTATTTTTAGTAGAGACGGGGTTTCACCGTGTTAGCCAAGATGACCTCGGTCTCCTGACCTCGTGATCCTCCCGTCTCGGCCTCCCAAAGTGCTGGGACTACAGGCGCCCGCCACAACGCCCGGCTATTTTTTTTTTTTTGTATTTTTCTATTTTTAGTAGAGACTGGGTTTCACCGTGTTAGCCATGCAAGCTCCGCCTCCTGGGTTCACGCCATTCTCCTGCTGCAGTCTCCCACCACCGCGCCCAGCTAATTTTTTTTTTTTTTTTTTTTTTTTTGGTATTTTTAGTAGAGACCGGGTTTCACCGTGTTAGCCAGGGTGGTCTCGATCTCCCGACCTCGTGATCTGCCCGCCTTGGCCTCCCAAAATGCTGGGATTACAGGCGTGAGCCACCTCGCCCGGCCTCAAAACACCCATGTAGCTTTTATTCTAAAAACTCTCTAATGGCTTTCCATCTCATTCGCGGTAAAAACAGACTTAAGTAAAGTTAGCCCAAAATCCTTATTACCTCACTGCATTCATTTCTTACCACCTGCCTCCTTATCCCCCTACTTCATCTCTCTTAGCTCTTTTATTAATCATTTTAGGAACATTCATTTCCACTTGCCATTCCTTTTTTCTGGAATAGTTTCTCCTCAGATATCCCTCACTTACTTCAAATACCATATATGTAATTTCAACTTCTCTTTCTTCTGTGTCTTACTTCCCTGCTGCATGTTTTTAATCATAAAACTTAATACTATTTAGCATATGTTCATTTATTTACATTTATTTATTTATCTTGTTGATTACCTTCTTCTCTAGCCTGTAAGCTTCAAGGAGTTGGAGTTTTGTCTGATTTGTCATTGTTCTATTCCCAGAAACTGGAACCATGCCTAGCTCATAGTAGATGCTCAATAAATATACCTGAATGAATAAATACACAAAGTCACAAGAAGTCTTTAGTTTGTGATAAGCTAGACACATGTAGGGAGAAGAGGATAAAAAAATGGTGTAGGAATATTGATCCTGTTCCTCTTAATGGTGCATAAAAAGGTCTCTTAAGAGCTGCACTGCCTTTAGGGGGTCCAACTTATTTCAGGAGGGGGCATGGCTAGTAAACATCTCCTGGCTAAGTGGACATACGTAAGGTTCATGTGAATTGCAGAATGAAGGGATTGTAAAGAAAGCCCCAACTATGAACAGAAGGTTTAAGTATCTGTTATTGATAGTTTGGGTAACTGATAATGTTGGCCAGCCAACTCAAAACAGGACTTGGAAAATGCTATCAACCCTTCCTTTGCTTCCACCACTATTTGTGAAAGAGGTCATGGACATAACACCTTTAGTGGTACATGTGGTGCATGAGATATCTGATAGTCCAGTGATTTAGCATGTATCAGATGAGCGCACCACGCAGTGCGTATATAATATAGTTTATGTTATGTGTGTGTTGATGTGGGAGGTGGGGGGTGGTGCTTACAAATGGAGTGCTTGTTGTCCTTCAAATTTCTGTCATTGGAAGACAGACTGCACACAGATGTTCTATGTGCTCCACAGCCAGTGTTCCAGCAGGGAGGCCATGACCAGAGCCAGCAAGCTGGACATAAAACCAAAAGCACACTATGAGAAAACAAAGCTTAGAGCCATCCAGATTTGTCTCATATTAGTCCCATCTCCTGGCCATTAAGGGCTTATTAAACATAATAAAAAAAATAAAAGAAAAAAACTGATTGTCCTTGCTGTTTCTAGAACAAACTAGCATGTTCCTAACTAAGGACCCTTCCAGTTGCCATTCTCTCTTCCTAGAATCTGCTTTTTACACATGTTCACATGATTAGCTCCTTTACTTCCTTAGGTTTTTATCTAAAGTCACCCTCTCAAAAAAGTTTTCTTTACAAGCTTACATGAAATTCCACATCAGACCCCTTTTCTAATTTATATTCTGACATAGCTCACCCTTGTCATTTCTAACATACAATAATCATTCCTTATTTGTTTTTTGTCTTTCATTCCTTCATTGGTAGAAAGTAAGTGTCCGGTACATGGCAGTTACTCAAATATCTGTTGAATCAATAAATTTCACTTTGTTTGTACCTTTTTTTACATGAGAACATTGATTATTGTTTTTGTTTTCCTGTTTTTCTGGATTATTTCTTATGAATGCTACATATTAATGTTTACATAATAAAAATAGATAACACTGATGATCTTAAGTTAGGTAATAATAATGAAACAGAATTAAGTTCCCTTATCCCCCTCTCAGGGTGTGCTTGACAGGGGTGTGGCTTGTTACTTTGGTGCTCTGCTCAAACCCCCAAGGGGAGCATGCAGACTGGCAGGTCATGGGGAGCGTTTTTGTGTTCCAACTCCACAGCAGCATCTAGAGTTGAGTGTTTACAGCTCCCAAAGCCCCAGCGGGCGTGTGTTACAGTGTGCTCTTTCAGCTTTGTCATCTGCAGGAGGCTTGTGTTAATCAGCTCAATTAGACCCTCTGCCTTATCACAAGAACAAACGACTTTCTGTATCCCAGATTCTTGCCCTACTGTGCAGGAAAAATCGGATCACATTTGGGCTTGGAAGATGGGTGCAAGGTTTTATTTAGAGGAGGTAGCTCCCAGTGAGGTGGATGAGGAGGCCAGAAAGAGGATGTAGCATGGAGATGTTCTTCCCCTGGCATTGGGCCGCCCAGCGGTTGACTGCCCCCGACCACATTCCATGTCCTCCTGCCATGGATGGCCTGCAGGCATCTGCTGGTGCCTGTCAGTGGGCTCTTCTGCTCCTCTGCTCCTCTTAATGTCTAGCTGCTTGTGTGTGTGTCCGCTAGGGGCTCGGGTTTTTATGGGCACAGGATAGGGGGCATGGTGGGCCCAAGTGGTCTTGGAAAATGCAACATTTGTGCGTGAAAACAGGAGTGCCTGTTCTCACTTAGGTATGTGGGCACAGGCCCAAGAGAGGATTGGAGCCCTTGCCAGGGACCTCACCTGCTCTACCTAGCACTTCCTGCCCCTATCCTGTATCAATAACAGCTAACAAGCATTGAGCTATTATTATGTTCCAGAAATGATACCTAATTATTCTATTCAACAAGCTTATGAGGGAGGCATTATTATAATTATTCTTATTTAGCAAATACGTTTAAACAATGAGAGCTTAAGTAACTTGCCCAGGTTTTCATACTGAGAAAGTAAGAAACCTCCCCATCTACCATGATTTGAATACATGCACTTTTTTGTTTTAATTGTTTTATTGAAACATAATATTTGTACATACTTATGGGATACATGTGATATTTTGTTACATGCATAGAATGTGTAATCATCATGTCATGGCATTTAGAGTATCCATTAGCTTCAGTATTTGTCATTTCCACATATTGGGAACGTTCTATCTACTAGCTGTTTTGAAATACATAATACATTGTTAGTCATAATTACCCTTCTGTGCTATCTAACTGTGTGTTTGTACCCATTAACTAACCTCTCTTCATCCCCTTCCCCCACCCACACACCCTTCCAGCCTCTGTTTTCTATCATTCTATTCTCTGTCTTCATGTTTCTGCCTTCTTTTGGATGAATTGGGTATGTTTTATGACTCCATTTTATGTCTTTTGTTGCCTTGTTAGCTCTAATTTTTATTAACTTTATTTTTTAGCAGCTTAGGGCTATACTGTGATGTTTATAGTATACACCAGTAACTTACCAAAGTCAACCTTAAGCTAATATTGGATCACTTCATGTCTAGTAAAATAAACTTTAATCACACACTTCAGTTTTCCATTACCAGTTCTATTGTTATCACGTTTTTATTTTCTACGTGATATGAAACACACAACATTGTATTATTATCTTGTTTTAAAGAGTCATTTATGTTTTAAAGAGATATAGAAAAATGGATGTTATATTTACATAATATTTATATTATTTATATATTTATATTATTATGTTATATTTACATTTCCTTCTGTCTTCATTCCTTTATGTCAGTCCATATTTTTATTCAGATATCATTTTTTCAACTTGGAAAACTTCCTTTAGAATATTTTGTTGTGCATGTCTGCTGTAGATGAATACATACAACTTTTTATGTATAAGAATGTCTTTATTTCAACTTCCTTGCTTACAAATATTTTAGCCAGATATAAAATTCCAGATTGACATTTTTTCTCTTTCATTACTTTAAGGTACTTACTCCATTGTTTTCTGATTTGCAGTTTTTCAGAGAATAAGTCTTTCTTATATTTCGTCCTTTGTATATCATATCTCCTTTTTCTTCTGATTGGCTTTAAGAGTTTATTTTTATCTCTGGTTTTTATTATCCAGATTATGATCACCTTTGGTGTAATTTTGCTCATGTTTCTTATGCTTGTAGTTCATTGGGTTTTGTTCATCTGCAGGTTTGTAGTTGTCATTAAATCTGGAAAATGTGGCCATTAATTTTTCTGACCACTCTCTCTTTTTTTTCTGAAATTTCAACTACATATATACTATATACTAAGCCAGTTCAAGTTTTTCCACAGATCACTTAAGTTCTGTTTATTTTTAATTCAGATGTTCTTTTTCTAATTTCTATGGCTATTTCTTCAAGTTTACTACTCTTTTCCAGTTCTAATCTGTTGTTAATCCCATTAAGTCTATTTTATATCTCAATTGTATTTTTCATCTCTTTAAGTTTCATATGTATCTTTATATCTTTCTTGTGTCTATTTAACATGTTCACTCTTTGCTCTACCTCCTTGAATATATGGAATGTAGTTGTAATAACTATTTAGTGTCCCTGTTTTCTTAACTCCATCATTCATGAGTCTGTTTCCTGATGGTTCTTTCCCTGGCCTTAGGTGTTTTCCTTGCACTTATCTGTTCATCAGTAGTCAGCTGAAGTCAGCTGAAGAACCTAGGGGTGCTTTATGTAGGTCTTTGCCACTTTCTCTGCACTTGTACTCCACTGGGTGAAGTATAGCTGCTTTGATCTCCCTAATTTTCCAGCTCTGCCTTCTCAATTCAGGGAGGCCACCAGGCTTTACCTGCATTCCTCTTTTCGAAGAGTTGCAGCCTGGAAACTCACTCTAGCCCATAATTTACGGATATCATATAGTCCAGTACATTTGTGCCCCATCTCTCAGGGATTAATGCCTGCCCGATGTCCAGTGTCTTGAAACTGTTATTTCATATATATTGTTAAATTTCATAGTTGATTCGGGAAGAAGGAAAAATTAGGTCCATGTTACTCATCTTTTCTGGAAGCCAAAGTTCAAAAGCAACATTTAAAGCAGTGTTACAACTTGAGCTAGTACTTGTCCGTTTATATTTTACAATAAAATAAAATAATTAGAATTACTAAATGTAAAGGCTTGTCAGTTTATATAAATGTTCCATTTTACCTGGGTCCTATTGAATTTTGCATATATTTTCAAATTAAAGCTACCAAATTAAGCAACTAGTCTGAATGTATAACAATTGTTCAATCCAATTTTATTATGTTTTAAAAATAAGATGAAATCATTGAAGAGCAAAGTTTTTATTTTTGTTGTGTTTTTGTTTATAAGGTTTAATTAACATTAGTAGACTTTTAGTACAGGCCGGGTGCGGTGGCTCAGGCCTGTAATCCCAGCACTTTGGGAGGCCGAGGTGGGAGGATCACGAGGTCAGGAGATCGAGACCATCCTGGCTAACACGGTGAAACCCCGTCTCTACTAAAAATACAAAAAAAATTAGCTGGACGTGGTGGCAGGCACCTGTAGTCCCAGCTACTAGGGCGGCTGAGACAGAATGGCGTGAACCTGGGAGGCGGAGCTTGCAGCCAGCAGAGATCACGCCACTGCGCTCCAGCCTGGGCGACAGAGCGAGACTCCATCTCAAAAAAAAAAAAAAAAAAAAAAAAAAAAAAAAGAGGGTCGGGCGCGGTGGCTCACGCCTGTAATCCCAGTGCTTTGGGAGGCCGAGGCGGGAGGATCACGAGGTCAGGAGATCGAGACCATCCTGGCTAACATGGTGAAATCCTGTCTCTACTGAAAATTCAAAAATTAGCCGGGTGTTGTGGCGGGCGCCTGTAGTCCCAGCTACTCTGGAGGCTGAGGCAGGAGAATGGCGTGAAGCTGGGAAGCGGAGCTTGCAGTGAGCCGAGATCCTGCCACTGCACTCCAGCCTGGGCAACAGAGCGAGACTCCGTCTCAAAAAAACAAACAAACCAAAAAGAAAAAAGAAAAAGAAAGTGGAAACTGACTATATTACACAAAAATGTGTTACTTCAATCTTTCTTTCTTTCTCTTTCTTTCTTTCTTTCTCTCTCTCTCTGTCTTTCTTTCTCTCTCTTTCTTTCTCTTTGAGATAGAGTCTCACTCTGTCATCCAGTCTGGAGTGCTTGGCTCACAGCAACCTCCACCTCTTGGGCTCAAGTGATTCTCAGGCCTCAGCCTCCCCAGTGGCTGGGATTACAAGTGTTCACCACTATGCCCAAAAAATTTTTATACTTTTGGTAGAGACAGGGTTTTACTATGTTTCCCAGACTTGTCTGAGCTCAAGTAATCCACCCACTTCAGACTCCCAAAGTGTTGGGATTACAGCCACGAGCCACCACGCCTGGCCTCAACTTTTTCTTATACGTAAAGTATATTACATTTGTAGTGTTAAAAAGCAGAAAAAAAAAGAAATTAAGGTAACAAGCAGAAAATCAAACTTCAGAGCAAGGGATAGTAGATTAGTAAACATACCAAAGATTCAAAGTGAGTATTTCCATTCATTCAAAAATCCTTGAAAAATTGATTTCAATGTATAGAAAACGCCAAATATTTAGAAATTTATTTACACATGCTTTTATAATTTTCGAACTAATATTTACTTAAATTACTTTTTTTTTGAGACGGAGTCTTGCTCTGCCGCCCAAGCCGGAGTGCAGTTGCTCAATGCAACCTCCGCCTCCCTGGTTCAAGCGATTTTCTTGCCTCAGCCTCCCAAGCAGCTGGGATAGCAGGCTCATGCCACCACCCCTGGCTAATTTTTGTATTTTAAGTAGCAACGGGGTTCCACTATGTTGGCCAGCTAGTCTCCAACACCTGACCTCAAGTAATCTGCCCTCCTTGGACTTCCAAAGTCCTGAGATTACAGGTGTGAGCCACCGTACCCAGCCAGTTACTTTTTAATCCTCAAATTTATCTTGTAATGTACATTTTTTTCTATTGATTAAGGAATAAATGTAAAATAAAAATTTTAATGACATGTGAGAGGCCTTACTTTTGTGTACATGCTTTGGATTTCAAAGGGAAGAAATTCTGTCTCCATAGTTACAGTACCAGCGTATGTTCATCCTCCATTTTCTTTATCTTGCTGGTCCAACTATTGCTTGGCATTTATGCCTTTTTGTTAACAAAAGAAAGGACAATATTTTAGCTCCCAATCATAGAAATAGATCTGAAATTTATTTCTGATTATTGTCTATTTGATTCTTCACTACTTTTTCTACCACATGTTAATGTTTTTTCAAGATTTTCCTGTATTTATTCCTTAGCAACCCCAAAATATTTGTAGCTCTTTTAACAACGTGCAAACTAGACATTTTACCCCTTACATATTATTATTTTTCAGTAGCTACATTTAGTCCCAATTCATAGTTCTAAACTTCTATGAAAGAAATTGTAGCTTTGTCTGAAAAATACGATAGCAATATAGAGACTTTTTTTGGGCAAAATAAACATGATAAATTGGTAGATAGCAAAAGAAGGGCGAAGCTAAGCTAAGATAATAGCACTATTTGAATATCAGCAGGAATAATATAAAAAAAGTGTTTAAAAAATACACAAACATGCCAGAACAGAACACCAGACAAATGGTACAATTTTATGAAGATGAAGCTATTTTTAACTTCAGCAGACATAAATAAGATGTAATTAGTGTAGTTCTACCCAGCAGTTCCTTATTAAAAATCTAATATTCAAAACTGATTGCAAATGAAAACCATTTTATAGTGTGCAAATAATTCAAGCATTAAATATTTCAGCTCATGTAGCTTACTGAAATTATAAACATAAAGGTACAGAAAAGTGTGATGCCAGCCACCTCTCTGCCACCCACAACATAATAGAGAGTGAACAGGATATGATATTTATTATACTATAATTGTCATTGTCTTTTTTATAAAAGCTGTTTTATGTTTTAATAACATCCTTTCTAAAGTGCATTGTGTTCTTGTAATTTTCAGTAATCAAATAGGTATGTATTTTGTAAACATTTTTATAAGTTATTCTCTTACATATGTTAAGAAAATAAAGTATCATAACATTATTTAATCATCCAGATTACCCAAATAAAAAATTCTATTATGTAAGGACATAAAGACTTTGGCTTGACATTCTTATTTTAGCTGGATGATTGTTAACACTTGAATTTTTCTTTTTATGTCTGTTGCAAAATGTGGCATAATTTGAATTAATCTTGGAATGTATAGCTCTCTTCCTCATCACATTCCTAATATTTCTAAGAGCTTAAAAACTTTTAAATTCCTTATAAAGTACCTTGAGAAAAATTTTATTATCTAAAATTTGTTTAAAGTACATATTGTCTATGTATATATTCATAAAATATTAAAGTTATCTTTCTAAAGGTTCTTATTACATAAAATCCCCCATCACCTTCTACTGCTGGCTCGTAACTATTATCAATTAAATTTTCACTTATATTCTTATTATAATGGCTTATATGCAATATGCCGTGGAGCATTTACTAAATCTAGAACCCTGATTATTCTGGCCATTCTGGGCATTTGTTTTCACAGATTGCTTGTCTGAACTAATTATGTCCTCATATCAAATGAGACAGTTGAATATATCAGTTATTTTATCAATGATTAGACAAATTTAAAATCAAATAAAACATCACTTTCTAAAAAGAAGAGGACTTTTTTATTTTTTGAATTAATCCTATTTTATCAAGAATGTACAGTTTTTGTGTTTTTAATCTTTTAAAAAATATCAGCAGACTAGCCTTGGAGTTTTCTATATAAAAATCCTCAAAACAGTGCCTATGTAAATCTGTTTGTCTCTTCTTTTTTTTTAAAGACAGATAATTTCCTAATGCTCAATTAGAAATTTTCAAATGTTTCTTTTATTTTTTTTTGAGACAGAGTCTCGCTCTGTCGCCCAGGCTGGAGTGCAGTGACGCGATCTCGGCTCACTGCAAGCTCCGCCTCCTGAATTCACCCTGCCTCAGCCTCCTGAGTAGCTGGGACTACAGGCGCCCGCCACCATGCCCGGCTAATTTTTTGTATTTTGAGTAGAGATGGAGTTTCACCGTGTTAGCCAGGATAGTCTTGATATCCTGACCTCGTGATCCACCCATCTCGGCCTCCCATGAAATGTTTCTATACTTCATGAATGTGATGTTTTATAGGGAATTTCTTAAGAAAGAAAGAAATACATTGCATGAAGCCATTGGAGGAAGGATCGAGCCCGTTTGTTCTGACTGTTCTGACTGCTTGCCCAAGATTGCTGGTTACTCTGTATGTACAGCTACTATAAATGATGAGGGAAAAGACTCCAGCTTCTAACAGATATGTAAGTAATTCAGAACATATTGCTCCACTGTTCACATGTTTAATAATGATGCCAACTTTGCATCTAAGAAAGTAAATGATGTGTAGAAAGGTTTGTTTAGAAAGTAGTTACAAGTTTTTTTACATGCCAGGAGGAAAAAAATGCTTCAGTAAATATTTTATTTTATTGTAGTGGTATATACAGACCAGTATATAACCTAACACCAGTGTGTTTAGGTGTTATATAGTTTATCTAACTCATTTAGAGACAAAAACACTAAAATATCCCCATATTATTACATTCAGTTGCCAGAAAATGTGCCCCAAATGTACTATATTGTATGACATCATTAATGAAAACTGTATTTAGAATATTTTTTGCCCAATTCATTTAGAATTTAAAAAAAGACACACACAAACAAGCATATCAAATCACCACTCTGGTAAAGATGAAAATATTAAGAATGAGATTTATATATTGTCTCAAAAAAGATTGAGGTTGAAGAAGCGTAGATTCCCCAGAGGATTTCAGAATTGAACTGTATTGGAAGAAATAAGAGGAGAGAAACACTAGGATACCAAAACAGTGGAGGTATTCTTTATCTTAACTGGAATAAATCCAGAGGATTTCCTAAATTACAGAATATTTTTAAAGGAGTTTGATTTGAAATTTCAAAAAAAAAATTGGGGGTATTTATACTAGGTCTGCTACATTGATTGCAGGAAAAGAATTAGAATATTTCAGCACATCATTATTTTCCTTTCTTCGTGCTTGCAGAGGGACTGTAATAACAGATTGAAAAGTTTATTGAAATAGCATATCATCCTTAACATATCCATTTGCTTTCCTGAGATTTTTTCTCATTTCCTTTTGTAGTTTGTCTTATCCAGTTGTGATTAGTTGAAGATCTGGTTTCATGCACCTTCAGTTGGCTGCCTGGCAAGGGAGGCCCCTTGTTTACACCTTAACTTACTAGTTCCATTTATAGAGTTTAGAAAAGCAATTAAGAATGAGAGTTATTTCTGAGGGCACTGTTCTGTTCCATTGATCTATATTTCTGTTTTGGTACCAGTACCATGCTGTTTTGGTTACTGTAGCCTTGTAGTATAGTTTGAACTCAGGTAGTGTGATGCCTCCAGCTTTGTTCTTTTGGCTTAGGATTGACTTGGCGATGTGGGCTCTTTTTTGGTTCCATATGAACTTTAAAGTAGTTTTTTCCAATTCTGTGAAGAAAGTCATTGGTAGCTTGATGGGGATGGCATTGAATCTATAAATTACCTTGGGCAGTATGGCCATTTTCACGATATTGATTCTTCCTACCCATGAGCATGGAATGTTCTTCCATTTGTTTGTATCCTCTTTTATTTCATTAAGCAGTGGTTTGTCGTTCTCCTTGAAGAGGTCCTTCATGTCCCTTGTAAGGTGGATTCCTAGGTATTTTATTCTCTTTGAAGCAATTGTGAATGGGAGTTCACTCATGATTTGGCTCTCTGTCTGTTATTGGTATATAAGAATGCTTGTGATTTTTGTATATTGATTTTGTATCCTGAGACTTTGCTGAAGTTGTTTATCAGCTTGCAGCCAAAAAACACATGAAAAAATGCTCACCATCACTGGCCATCAGAGAAATGCAAATCAAAACCACAATGAGATATCATCTCACACCAGTTAGAATGGCAATCATTAAAAAGTCAGGAAACAACAGGTGCTGGAGAGGATGTGGAGAAATAGGAACACTTTTACACTGTTGGTGGGACTGTAAACTACTTCAACCATTGTGGAAGTCAGTGTGGTGATTCCTCAGGGATCTAGAACTAGAAATACAATTTGACCCAGCCATCCCATTACTGGGTATATACCCAAAGGACTATAAATCATGCTGCTATAAAGACACATGCACACGTATGTTTATTGCGGCACTATTCACAATAGCAAAGACTTGGAACCAACCCAACTGTCCAACAATGATAGACTGGATTAAGAAAATGTGGCACATATACACCATGGAATACTATGCATCCATAAAAAATGATGATTTCATGTCCTTTGTAGGGACATGGATGAAGCTGGAAATCATCATTCTCAGTAAACTATTGCAAGAACAAAAAACCAAACACCGCATATTCTCACTCATAGGTGGGAATTGAACAATGAGATCACATGGACACAGGAAGGGGAAGATCACACTCTGGGGACTGTTGTGGGGTGGGGGGCGGGGGGAAGGATAGCATTGGGAGATATACCTAATGCTAGATGACGAGTTAGTGGGTGCAGCACACCAACATGGCACATGTATACATATGTAACTAACCTGCACATTGTGCTCATGTACCCTAAAACTTAAAGTATAAATAAAAAAAAAAAGAATGAGAGTTCATTCACGATTTGGCTCTTGGCTTGCCTGTTGTTGGTGTATAGGAATGCTAGCAATTTTTGCACACTGATTTTGTATCCTGAAACTCTGCTGAAGTTGCTTTTCAGCTTAAGAAGCTTTTGGACAGAGACAATGGGGTTTTCTAGAGATAGAATTACATCATCTGCAAACAAAGATAGTTTGATTCCCTCTCTTCCTATTTGAATACCTTTATTTCTTTTTCTTGCCTGATTGCCCTGGCCAGGACTTTCAATACTATGTGGAAGAAGAGTGGTGAGAGAGAGCATCCTTGTCTTGTGTCAGTTTTCAATAGGGAATGCTTCCAGCTTTTGCCCATTCAGTATGATATTGGCTGTGGGTTTGTCATATATGGATCTTATTATTTTGAAGTATGTTCCTTCAATATCTAGTTTATTGAGAATTTTTAACATGAAGGGGTATTGAATTTTATCAAAGGCCTTTTCTGCATCTATTGAGATAATCATGTGGTTTTTGTCTTTAGTTCTGGTTATGTGATGAATCATATTTATTGAATTGTATATGTTGAACCAAACTTGCATCCCGGGGATGAAGCCTACTTGATCATGGTGCATAAGCTGTTTGATGTGCTGCTGGATTTGGTTTGGCATTATTTTGTCAAGAGTTTGTGCATTGGTGTTCAACAAGAATATTGTTCTGAAGTTTTCTTTATCTGTTGTATTTCTGCCAGGTTTTGTTATCAGGATGATGCTGGCCTCATAGAATGAGTTAGGGAGGATATCCTTCTCTTTTGGAAGAGCTTCATGGAATCAATCTAAATGTCCATCAATGATAGACTGGATGAAGAAAATGTGGTACATACACACCATGAAATACTATGCAGCCATAAAAAGGAATGAGATTGTGTCCATTGCAGGGACATGGATGGAGCTGGTAGTGATTAACCTCAGGAAACCAATGCAGAAACAGAAAACCAAATACTGCATGTTCTTACTTTTAAGTCGGAGCTGAATGATGAGAACACATGGACACATGGTAGTTAACAACACATACTGGGGCTTGTCAGAGGGTGGTGGTGGGAGGAGGGAGAGCATCAGGAAGAATAGCTAATGGGTACTGGGCTTAATACCTAAGTGATGGGATGATCTGTACAGCAAGCCACCATAGCACACATCTACCTGTGTAACAAACCTGCACATCCTTCCCATATAGCCCTGAACTTAAAATAAAAGTTGGAAATCAAAAAGAAAAAAAAAAAAGAGAAAAGAAAAGCAATTGTTTCCATTGGAATGATGTAGTTACCCATTCTGAAGTGTGCTGTATAACTGAATTTCGGAAACCATCTCTCTACTTCATCCAAGACTGAATTTGAAAAAGTAAATTGAGTGTCTACAGTGTATGTATTTTTCAGTGTTCTGAAAGCAGTGCTAAGTCATAGATCACAGAGGGTGATAAAGGCAGGCAAGAGGAAATATTGATTCTTCATGGCAAATGAACAACACATCATTTTGCTTCAGATTCTGGTATAAGCAATCTCCTTATACCAAGGAGATTGTCTATAATTGTCTAGTATTTATTTCGTTAATATCAATGATTTTTCCTAACACATTCTACTTTCTTGTCTTTATCACTATCAATATTGAGATTTTGGGAAAATTCTTGTTGATGATTACTGAAATGTTAATTTAAAAAAACCATAATATATGCTTGGAAAAACTAAAATTTGAATAGAAAATAGTAGAAATAGTAGTCATTTTAAAAAGTTGATGACCAGTAGACTCCTTGTGACAAGCTGTGT
Source organism: Homo sapiens (assembly GCF_000001405.40). NCBI lineage: Eukaryota > Metazoa > Chordata > Mammalia > Primates > Hominidae > Homo > Homo sapiens. The sequence goes on along the minus strand of NC_000005.10, from coordinate 86,212,856 downwards.
TTTGAACCATAATATATGGAAAAGCTATTTTGTAAAATAATTAATTTCCCATCATTTGTAAATCTTTTAAAGCCACTCAGTTAGTTTTACATGAATAAATCAATTCTTTTACAAAGTTTTCTCTATTTTTCTGTTTCCTTTGAAGTTTTTCATATATTGCCTAGCACAGAATTGTAGCAGAGACATTATTATAGAATATGGAAATCTTGGCAATGTGGCCAGTGCGAATGTTCCACATCTCCTAACCATGGAAGGAAGAGTCTACTTGAGAAAACTTTGTAGCAGTTCAGATAATACGAAGTCTGACAAGGAATAGACTTCTAAGGCAGTTAATGTTTACTCTTGCTAAAAGAGAAGCAACTCGAAAAAGTTTACTAGTTCTTTACGATTAAGATATTCAAGATATATAATAGCCAGAAATACAGGTTTAAAGAAAGCAAATAGCAAGAAGTAAAACTGTGAATTAAAAAGCTTGTGTTTATAGTGTGTTAATTAAGGATACAACTGCATAATAAGGAGGCACTGGGTAGGCCGGTAACTCTAGTGTGTGGAATTAAGGAAGAGCCACATTACATCTACTTACAGAATTACATGGTCCTTGTTTTATAAAGCCTTTTGTGCTTTTCTGTGTGTCCCCACATGCAAACTACTCTATGTGTTCTTTCCATCTTCTCCAGCCCCTTCCTGCCCCGATTTGATAGAAAATATTATAGAAATTGATATTAAGCAAAGAATAAGTGAGATTTTTGTATTCTCCTCCACAGATTGTTAATTTGTCTTTAAATACTGGAGATTTGAAAACAGTGTGCATAGTTTTCAATGATTATCTGCATATACAATTCTGTTAATTTGTCCTTTTGCCTTTGTCTGCCATCGATGAGAAGATAATTGAACTCCTGGATTAAATATAGTGCTGTACTGGGAAGTGCTTTAAAACTGGCACTGTTGTGCTGGGGAATGAAGCTGTGTTTTGCAGCATTTAAAAATTTCTGTAGTTTACACGGTATAAATACTGTGGCTGACTTCAAACCATCAACATGGTGACACTACACACAATTGAAAAGAGATATACACAGTTGTATCTGAAGCACTTGTGCGAGTCAGCTCCAGCACACCATTACCTAAATACCTTTTTTGAAAGGAAATTCTTTTTTCTACTTTTTGAGTCTCTTTCCTCAGAAGTATTGATATGCAAATAATGTGTAATCCAAAGAATGTTAGAGAAAATACATTTTTTATTAATTAATACAGAATGACAATCTTTTCTTAATATTTTCAAAATAATTTCATAATTTTCATGTTAGCAAAAGTATACAAAATGATGTTTATATATAATCATAGAATGAAGGGAATTAATTCTGAAAGAAAATACAAAGAAAACCAATGAAACTTTGAATTGGCTGGACCAAAGCCCTGATATTTGTTGAACCCACATTATGTGACCAGCACTATACAGGACACCTCTAGGAAGGTAGAAACAAAATTTATCTATTGCTTATATCAGTAATTTCTCCTAATGTATATTACATAATTATCTCAAAAATATTTTCATGAAAATGTCCTTACCTTACAAGTGAGGAATCTGAGGCAAAGCAGAGTTCTTAATTTGCCCAAAGTAAGACTTGAGCCCAGATATCAATGGCATCAGAATTCATCCTTTTCTCATTAAATGTCTGTAATTAATTGTCCTCAATAAGTATTATTGAATGCTGTGCAAAGCTCTGCAATTTAGAGATGGAAAGCACACTAACTACTTTCTGTCAACAAAATGAAAGAGAGGGGAGAGACCGTTGGCAGAAAACTTTATCTTGGATAAATGTTTCTCAACCTTAAATAATATATATGGGGTGGGGATTAGGACAAGTCAGTTTAAAAAAATAAAATTATTTAGGTAATGGGATTTTAAGGAGAAAATAATAGTCTGTGCTCTATGAAAATAATTGACTGCAATGTGGAGGTTCAGAGATGATTTAGGAGGCTGCTGCAGTGGTCTAAGATAGAACCTAAACTAAGGTAGGGCACTGAGAAAAAGAATGATAAGATCAGATCAAGAAATATTTATAAGAAATAATGGATAGAATTTTCCTTGATTTCATGTAAAGGAAGAGAGGGTATTACAGAAACTATTTCTATGATCCAAGGCAGCACATCCACTGGAACCTGCTGTATGTTTTGCTTACCAACAGCTGTCTTTAGAGAATTGCCCTTGGCTGAGATACCTCACTCCAGAAAGACTAAAAAACAAAAAAAAAAAACGAAGAAAAAAAAAGATAAAAGGCTGGCTCCTTTTCTTAACATAGAAATATTGGGAGCAGGTTTATGTTTATGTATCAGGCCAAGGCCAAGCTTTGTCTGAGACCACATTCTCGTCTTTCGCTTTTCTTATCCTGCACTATTTTATCCCTTACGTTCCCCCAATAAATTATTCACATAAGAATTCCTGTCCCAAACTCTACTTCTAGTGAACATGACTTAAGACAAGCATGAATGACGTCTTAATTTGATAACTGAGACAGATGATGGTATTGTTCACACACTGATAGTGCTGTACTGTTCCCAAAATTTTGGTCCTAATCTAGTATTCTCTAAGTCTTCCCTGTGGATGGAGTAGAGCTTTAAAAAGAGTTACTTAAGATAAATACTATTTATAGGTTTGTTTTGGGCCTTCCAAACTCCCTGTGTTTTTATTAAAGATGAGTAGGAACTTTATTATCTACAAATGGAAATATTTAACATGTAAGTAAATGAAATATTCTTTCATGTGTCTCTAATGTATGATCAGGTTTGAAACTACATTACAATCTAACCATTTCTCCTTTATCTAATAGAAGATGTTCCTTATTGTGAATGAACACAAGATAGATGGTCTAGTTGCCTCAAAGCAAAACACAACTTTGTCTGAAAACAAAACACAATTTAAAAGGAGGTAGATAATATAGATTATCTTGTTTTTAACACAAATGAGATAAGGACTTTATAAGCATCTACACACTGCGAATTTATAAAGATAACATTCATTTATCATATTTTCAAATTTTGTTTCATATTGCCTATTTTCTTACTTTATTTTTTACTGTGTGTCAGGGGGAGGGTCTTGCTCTGTCACCCAGTCTGGAGCACAGCAGTGTGATCACAGCTCGCCACAGCCTCAAGCAATCCTCCTTCCTCAGTCTCCCAAGTAACTGGGACCACAGATGTGCATCACTATGCCAGACTAATTTTTTAAAAAAATATTTTGTAGAGATGGGGTCTCTCTATGTTGTTCTGTGTGGCTCTTGAACTCCTGGGCTCAAGCAATCCTCCTGCCTTGGCCTCCCAAAGTACTAGGATTATAGGCTTGAGCTAAAATACCTGGCCTCTACTTTCTAACATTAAGAAACAAAGACATTCACAAACACATAGATTTTTAAATACTGAAAAATTACTGAAGATGTATCTTTATTTTTCATGGCTACATTGGAGTATTGAGAGCAGAAATGTTCACATGCTTAAGGTTTGCCATGAATGGAACACACATGTAATTTTGTATTTATTATCCGCATGAAAGTTTCATTAAACCTTTTATTACTGCCTTTAATGTAGGATATTAACTTCCTAAAAATATTAAATATCAATAGGACTTGCCTATTTTTGTTTGGCTCCAAGAGGAAGAACCATTTTTCTTTCTAAGAATCCAAACAATTAAATAGAGGATGATTCCCATTTTATCCAACCTCCATTTAACATTTAGAGGCATGTCCAACAGAGTTGTAGAGTTGTTTTTTTATTTTATTTTATTTTATTTATTTTATTTCAATATTTTGAGACAGGGTCTCGCAATGGTGCTAAGTCTGGAGTACAGTGATGTGACTATTGCCCCCTGCAGCCTTGACCTCTTGGGCTCAGGTGATCCTCCTGTTTCAGCCTCCCAAGTAGCTGGAACTATAGGCATGCACCACCACACCTGGCTATTTTTTCATTTTTTTTGTGTGGAGTTGGGGTCTCACGATGTTGCCCAGGCTGGTTTCAAACTCCTGTGCTCAAGTGATGTTCTGATCTCTTAATCCCAAAGTGTTGGGATAATAGATGTAAGCCACCAAGCCCAGCCAAGTTGCATATTTTAAAGAAAATGTATGTATTACTCACATAGAAATTTGGACCAATTTGCCCAAATATGTAGTTAACTAGTTCTAGAAAATAAAATTATATTAATTTTACATTCCACTATGAACTGTAAGATAAAATATTTGAGAAAAAATTTTTTATAAATGAACTGACCCTGTTTTCTCCATCTCAGTGAACAGTATTCACTGAGATGTTCAAATTAGAAATGTGGGAGTGATCTTTTATTCTTCCTTCTTCCTTACCTTGCTATATAAAATATGGAAACTATTGCTAAAAACTTATTAGTCTAACTCCCATATATATCTTGAACCTACATACTTGGACTATAAAGTTGGACCTCACACATATATCAGAACCCATACCTCCTCTGCTGTCAGAAATTTCCAGTGTCTGCAAAGCCGTATTTGAACGATAGGCACTGTAATTATGCCTATTGCATAATTCACCCTGTAAGCAACCTTATTGGAAATGCAAAGTTATTTAAAAAAATGAGAACCCATACATATCAATATTTAAAAGTCAATATTTATTTTAGAAAATAAAAAATAACTTCTAAGAAGAGTAACTCTCAGGAATCAGAAATAAACCCACTTCTTGATATCAATAGAGAATATTATTTAGTTGTGCTTAATCAACTTAAATCTATTATTTAAAACTGCTTGCCAAGGTCTATACAAAGAAGTTCATTGACTATGTTAATATGTCAGTTACTGTAATAATAGGAAGGTCAATAAATATGTTGTTAAATGTTCATGGAATAAAACAAATGCCATAATGAGGAAAAGAGTGTTAAGTTCAAAAATCTACATTTCTTGACATTTCCTTGGATACACAAAACCTCCTAACTGGCAGAATTAGACTTGTTTTTAAAAATAAGCTAGATGAATAAAAACAACAGTTGTGTAAAGAGTCACAGGGAAAAATAAGGTAGGTCAAACTTTCATATCTAAGAGGTATGTAATTCATTACACAATTTTTATAAAAATTCAAATGTTGAAGTTCTTATAGAGTTATTTAATATTTGAATCTGTGCAATTTCTGTACAATGATGATGACAGATGCAAATATGTTTTTTGAGACTAACAAGAAATAACACAGGACACAATGGTAGCACCAGCACTATAACTGACTTTCATTATCTGTTGTTTTTCATTATATTGCGGGCATGTTTGCATCATCATCGAGGATCACAAAATTAAATAGGAATATGCTTCATTTTCCTTTGACCTTCTCCTGACCTGAGAATTATTGGGATTTGTATAACTTGATGTCAAATGATAACATACACTGATTTGAAAGTTACTTACTCTGCTAGCCAGCCTCCAAGATGGTCCCAATGATCTCCACCTCCTGGCATTCATACCTTTGTATTAGTCCCTTTTATACTATATCAGCATTAGTCCTATTTGACCATGGACTATGGCAGAAGAAATGGTATGTCACTTCCAACATCACAGCTTTTCTCTCTATATGTCTTTCACCACTTACTCTAGCAAGCTGCAGAATGAAGACAGCTGTCCTATTCTGCAGATAGGTCCACGGTTAGGAACTGAGGCCTCCTACCAATAGCCAGGAAGGAACTGTCAGCTTAGAAATGAATCCTTCAGCACTAGTCAGACCTTCAGATGAAATTCATCATCTGCACTTCAACTTCATGAGAGACTCTGAGCCAGAGCCATCCCACTAGGACACTTCCAAATTCCTCAGGGACAGAAATTGTGAGGTCATAAACATTTGTGTTTTTTTTAAGCCATTAAATATAGTAATTTAATAATAATAGAAAACAAGTACATATACCATGCATACAGACTTTTACATCAGATTATGCTTGAAAACAGAAAAGTTGTGATTTGGGACTAGAAACTATTGCAGAAAGTTTATGAGCTTATTATACAAATATTCTTAAGAGAAAACATGACCTAACCTCAATTAACTTGACCTAATTTGTTTGCAGGCAAACCTGAATTAAATAAAATGGCTTATATTATGTTAAAAATTTTAAATGCAATCATGTATGAAAGTCTATGAAGACTTTATGTTTGAGCTTAGGAGCTATATGTTTCTAATTATGGATCACAATTTATAATATGCTAATGTTTGAATCAATATATAGGTAAATCTTAAAAGAATGTACCTATTAAGAGACAGAAATAAAATATTCCTTAAGACATCCAGATACATTTATATTTCTGTTATTCTAAAAACTTATATATGGGGCCGGGAACGGTGGCTCACGCCTATAGTCCCAGCATTTTGGGAGGCCGAGGTGGGCGGGTCAGGAGGTCAGGAGTTCGAGACCACCCTGGCCCATATGGTGGAACCCCGTCTCTACTAAAAATATCCACACACACAAAGTTAGCTGAGCGTGGTGGTGGGTGCCTGTAATCCCAGCTGCTCGGGAGGCTGAGGCAGGAGAATAGCTTGAGCCTGGGAGGTGGAGGTTGCAGTGAGCTGAGATTGCGCCATTGCACTCCAGCCTGGGTGACAGAGCAAGACTCCTGTCTCAAAAAAAAAAAAAAAATTGTATATATATATATATATATAATATATATATGGAACCTAGTTTTCTATATTTATAGATGCACAATAGCACTTTTATTTTTAAAATTATTAGTATTGGATGTAAGTGAAAGTAAAGTTATTAAAAATAAAAACTTCTAATAATCTATATTTTGATTATATTTAGATGTTAATATGGTTCTTTATTTAGTTTAGTAGAAGTAAAATTATGCCATGGCATGTAAATTAAGTGATAATTATACTTCTATATAAAAGAAATATGAGTCTAGTGAGATGATTTCTTTGTTGCTGGGCTATGTAATAAAATAATACAGTTTGAATAAAATCCAGCATCTGGGGAAATTCTAGTATGGCAATAGATCTTCTACCTTTTTAGCAAATGTTAATATGGTAAAGGATCATTGCAATATTTTATGGTGGAAAGGGAATAGATCCTTCATTTCATTCCAAAGTTGAATTGTTCACTTAGAACCAGAATGGTTATGGACAGACAGAAAAATAAATGCAGAGTGTTAGTTGAAAAGAAGCTGTAGGATTAAATTAGAATTCATAATTTTTTTTCATCCTCCAGTATTTTCTCTGTGTATATAGTGCGGACCCCTAGTCACTGCAGGACACTATTTTTCAATCGGAGGTCTGACTGAGAAGAAATGGCATATTTAAGCTGGATTATTGCAAACAAACCAGGAAAGTGCTGTTTCTAAAAGTGTGAGATTCACACCTTTAGTCACAAGGAAGGATGAGGTACCTAGGACTAGGGACTGTTGGGGAACTATTACCAACTCTAGGTGTGAAGTGGCAAGCCCAGGGAGTGGTGAATTAATCCAAAAAGCATAGCTGTAAGTGTGGAAGGAAGGGCCCTGCCACAGGAGAAACACATCTAATTCCTCTTCTCTCAAGGAGCGAGAATGCCTGGGAAAAAAATATCCCATCCCTCTTTCTTCGCCCCTCTCCCCCTCTCCTGTTAAGTGTTTTCCTTTAGCCAATAGTGTAATGGCAAGCCAGAAGCAAGCGGGCCGCTGATACGGTCTTTGGAGATTGTGTCTCACAAAAAAGAGTAAAGAAGAATGGAAGTTGGATCTGCAGGGGCTAAAGAGAAATAAGGAGCACATCTGCAGTTATGGGTTAAAGTTTATGATATTCAATAAGCTTTCTAGGGCAGGAAATGATTCCACATTTTGTAAATGTCAACAACCAACAGCAATGTTTCACGCAAGATGGGCTTTGCAGTTTTTCTTTGGTTAACGACAAAATCCAACTGAATAAATCCTGCACTTCCTATTAATCTTAACTTTTCCCATTTTTTAAGAAGAGTTTTCTACTATATACGCTATGTGCAATTAAACTCTGCCCATTCTAAATATGTTATTATCCCCTTTTGTTAGTAATTGCTGTGAATACCTTGTCAGGCATAAAGGCAGACTGTTAATGATCTAATTTTTAAATTCTCATTCAAATTATTCAGTACTCTGGCCTTGTCACTGATGAATTCTGTCACCCTACTACCTATGTAATTAATGTGATTATGCTGAATAAATATACCATATGTTATGAATTTTGATGTTAAATATCTGCTGTGTTATTATGGAAGCATTTCAAGCACTCAAATTTTGAAAAGAAATATATTTTTAAACCTATTTAGTTTTCAACATCGACATATGTTTGTTTTTGGATCTGTATAGCCTAAAACACTGCCTATTATATAATAAGCTCTCATAAAACATATGATAAATATGGTGAATGAATTACATTGTATGATGCTTTTCCTCTACTTAACAGTTGGAATGCCCTGAGTAGTTCTGGGTATCATGCTGTAAAGGAAGACATGATCATGAATGAGCCAAATTCAGGAGCAGATAGAAATTGAGCTAGAAATAGATACAGAGAGATAGGTACTGTTTATTAACTTTCCAATAAAAGATTAAACAATCCCTTAATTTCTAAAACTCATGCTCATTTATATTTCTTACATATTAACACTTATCCAACATAACATTTTATCCAACTGGGCTATTATATTTTATTAACCACAAATGCACTCCGTTTTACTTTTCATGGGGAAAGTTTTAAACATTTAAGGAAATATCTTGAGGAGATGGATATTCCTGGGGTCAATTTTGTAGAATTTCTCAAGCACAAAACTGAAATACAAATTTCAGCTTTGGCATTTGAGAGAAAAGTCTAACTGCCTTGTGGGATCATGATTTCTCAGGCACAAACTATGAGGATTTGTTTTTAAATGTTTGAGAGCCCTCAGGTAGTAAAGATTAAAATGGAAATTTCTATGAAAGGGAAAGTCAGAAGCCAGGAGAGCCCAGAAGCCTGATGGTGAGAGTTATCTAAATTTCTCCTGCTCTCCTTGCCTTGTGGAGGCCACAGTGAAATTAAAGTCCTGTTTAAATATTCATCTTTAACTCAGCTAAGACAGTATGACACCTTCTGGACAAAAACTTATTTTTTTTTTCCATAGAAGACAACATAACTGTAACAATTGATCAACACAAAAAAATTATTCAGGGAAAGAGAAATTTGGGGAAAATAAAGGGTGTTCTCAGTTACATTCTCCCTACATTGCTAACCTGGGAAGATTAGGATTTGATCATTTCAAAGAAAGTGCATTAAAAATTAATTCATTAATTTTAATTTTTCTAACATTCTCATGGAAGTCAAACCTGAAAGTAAGGGACCTGGGAAATATCTGCAGAAATCTACAAACATGGTTATTTTAAAATTCTCTTTATATTGCCTGATTTTCCTTCTCCATCCACCTCAGTATAAATTGTTTTCAGGTTTGTGTCTTCCTAATTCTTCTTTTCTCTGTTGACTACCTTGGAGCACTTTTTTGTCTTTTGATTTACTCACAGATTTCTCTCTCTAGCCCTAACCTTTCCCTGATGTACTATTTCCCTCTGGATTTATGACTGAACATTTAGACTAGAGTCTGACTCTACAACTCTCTCTGAGACTCCATATCCTTATATATAATATTTTTAAATTTGGTTGCATAACCTCTAGAAATTATACTCCATCTCAAATTTAATTCCTCCTTCATTATCTTCTGTGCATATTATTCCTTTGCATTTCTTCTTTCCTCATCATGTTTGTGGCACTTGTGAAAGTTAATTATTCAAATTGAGTCACTCTTGCCATATCCCACTAAGACAGAAATGAGGGGCTAGGGGAAAAGCTCTTGGGGCACATAGCACCTGTTCCAAAAATTTAATTTTCCACAAGTTCAGCTGTTGAAATGGCCTGTCGTGACTCTAAGATGGCTGTTACCTACCACTGTCACTTACCAGTCAGAGCTTGCCAGCTCCCAAAATCTTCCCTAGTGTCAATGAGCTTTCTTTCAAAGCGATGGGTAACATTTCTCTTTCTAATAAAGCTCCCGAACTTCTCTTTGTTCTTCAGACATACTGAAGACCAACTGGTCTGTGTGTATGCTGAAAATTAGAACTCTTGCTCCCCAAATAAAAGATTTTCAATTTAGAAATTTGTCTCTATATTTTAATTGACTTTGACATGCTCATTATGTCATGCTTAGGTGTGATTTGCATCAGTAATTACTGTCAAAGTATATGTGTAATTTCCATCCAAGTAAATGCTGCATGTACATGGGTGACCCCTCTCAAGGATGCTTGGATTCTAAACTGAAAACAACAGATTCAGGACATGTTTGACCAAAATTGCATTGTACTTTATTCTAGCAAAGGATTTAGCAATCATTTCCAGTGAACTTCTTTCAACCTGCTTTTTACTGAAACTGAACTACTGTAATCTCAAAGAATAACTAAACACCACTATAGCTGAAGTTTAATTTCTAGTTCACTGGACAGAAGCTTAGCAAGAACTGCAATTTGAGTATATACAATTATACCTTCCCATGTTCATTACAGATTAAAGTACTTACACATCAGACAGGGCTAGCAAAGAAAATGAACAACCTTAAGAGTTCATTTCCTGGTTCACATTTAGGAATTCTAGAAATATAACCCTTTCCCATTGCACTTATTATTTTTTTCTGGAAAAATTTGATGGTCAGCTAACCAATTTAGTAGCTTCCAAGACCACTAAAAACCATATTTTTTTTTTAAATGGGAAAGCAAATAAATAAATTTAGAACTTTTAAATGTAGTTCTATTTGAAAGTCACATTTAAATTCATCTCAATCCCATTCTGCAGATGTTTTCTACTATGCGAGACCTATATATCTGACTTGTTTAGAAATATCTGTTGAATTAATCTTGCCTTTCCACTATTAATTTATGAAAGCTGGCAGTTTAAATTTCAAGATCTAATGAAGCCTCGCTGAGACAAATTATTTTTTCCATACTGTTTCTGATATTTATAATTGGGTTTTGGCTGCGTGCATTAGCTCACATCTGTAATCCCAACACTTTGGGAGGCTGAGGCAGGCGGTTCACCTCAGGTCGGGGGTTCGAGAGCAGCCTGGCCAACATAGTGAAACCCTATCTCTACTAAAATTATAAAAATTAGACAGGCATGGTGGTGCATGCCTGTAATTCCACCTACTCAGGAGGCTGAGACAGGAAAATCTCTTGAACCCAGGAGGCAGAGGATGCAGTGAGACAAATCACAGCACTGCACTTCAGCCTGGGTGACAGAGTGAGACTCTGTCTCAAAAAAAAAAAAAAAAACACCCAGAAAACAAAAAACAAAAGTAATTGGGTTTTTATATATTTTATAGAAAAGGAAAAGAAGAAAATGTCATTGTCTTTCTTGCAGAAATGAAGTATTTGCTATGAAGATTAAATATGTATTCCCTTGGGCTTGGTGTTAGTCTGGAGTCCTAAAAATATAAAACTTAATTTAGAATTAGTTTGAGATTTTACAATTGTAGTATAAAAGATCTGATTATTTTTAAAGTTTGTATATGTAGATTGATAATTTTATGGTGGGCAAGGTGATCGAATGAGAGTTAGGACTCACTCCACTCTTTGTGCATAAAATCAGTTACATCACCTTATATGTATATTCTAAACTTCTTGGATTATTTATGTATAACAATAAAAAATTTAGGATGATATATATTTGCTTCTATCTATAATTTTATACAAAATATACAAAGAAGACTTTGCAAACAAGGTAAGGCAGTAAAATAAGTATAAAATTCTGATCTAATTAGAATCTTTCATAATATGCAAATTTTTGTGTGACTGTTTTTAATGATTGTTTCAATTATAGATTATACTCTTACAATGACTGTGTAGCTGGGAATGAGGATTAACAAGTGTGAAATCTTTAGTACATTAAGAAAACTCTATTCTAGTATATAACAAATTATTTGGTTAATATGGCATTAGAAATATCTAAGCTCCTTATAGGAAAGTATTCACTTGTGGGTGCTACTGATTACATTTTACAACATTTTTATTTCTATAAAATATTCTGAACACCTATATTTAGAGCCCATATTGGTTTTAAAAATAATATTGGCCAGGTTCTATGCCTATAATCCCAGAACTTTGAGAGGCTGAGGCTGGCTGGGTGCTTGAGCTCAGGAGTTCATGACCAGCCTGGGCAACATGGCGAAACCTCATCTCTACAAAAAATACAAAATGTAGCCAGGCATGGTGGTGCATGCCTGTAGTCCCAGCTACGTGGAAGGCTGAGATAGGAAGATCGTTTGAGCCCTGGAGTTTGAGTCTGCAGTGAGCCACAATTGCACCCCTGCACTAATAAAATAAAAAATAATAGCATAAAAACTGACCTGAAAAAACAATTTGTATCAGAGAAACAATAACAAAACCTAATATACTCGAAATCAGGCTCCCTTTGTACAAACAAATGAAATTAAGTGAAATGAAATAAAATAAAATGATGGCAATTTCACTAACTTAGCAAAAACCAATTAATAATATATGTTATGTTCTTGAGTAATGGTAAAACCAGGTAGTGTTGCAATACTGGTTTCAATGTGATCTGATAGAATTCTTTTGAAAGACAATTTTCTGATTGTAATCAATAGATAAATTGTGTCATCATATTCTTCTTTTTCTTTTTTCTTTTTTTTTTTTTTTTGAGACAGAGTTTTGATCTGTTGCCTAGGCTGGAGTGCAATGGCGCGATCTCAGCTCACTGCAACTTCTGCCTCCTGGATTCAAGTGATTCTCTTTCCTCAGCCTCCTGAGTAGCTGGGATTACAGGCATACGCCACCATGCTGGGCTAATTTTTGCATTTTTAACAGAGACAGGGTTTCACCATGTTGGTCAGGCTGGTCTCGAATTCCTGACCTCGTGATCCACCTGCCTTGGCCTCCCGAAGTGTCATCATATTCTTTGCCAAGCAGTGCAACTCCTGGAATTTAACACAAGCAATAATTCAGTGAATAACTATTTATTATAGAAAAGCAAGAAAATAGTAAAAAATGTTACAGTAAGAAAACATTAAGTAATTAAGAATATGTATTCTTAATGTGTTTTACAAGATTTATTATTGTAATGATACATTTTAATTACAAAATAATAATTAATTGTAGAAAACTTAGGAAAAAAAAGGCAAGAAAATATGGTGAAAATAAAAATTGTTACTCCAACCTAAAAATCCACTGCCATCATATTGATTTTTATGATAGCTTGTCTGTCTGCATTTCCCTCTTTGTTTTTCTAAAAACAGATTATGCCAGCCAGCAGCTCAATATCAAGCATATTTATGTTTCTTACATTGACAGAAGCTTAATATCATCATCTGTGGGTAGACTATAGATTTTCCTGTTTACCTACTCATGAGTAAGCCCATCATGTAAAGGCTGGGTAAAATGTTTGCTAATATTACACTCTTGTTAAATACTGTTTGAGTGCTTACTAGTAAGATTTTTCCATCAGAAAATGAGAAGAATAATACTTAACAATATTTTGCTATTTTTACTCAAAATAAATGTTTGATTTCAATCAAATAATGGTTATGGACTAAATTTTGTCCTCCTGTCATTCATATGTCGAAGCCTTTAACCTCAATCCCTCAGAATGTGACTGAATTTAGATACTGGGTAGGCCATAATTCCATCTGACAGGTGGTTCTTATAAGAAGAGAATATTTGGACGCACAGAGATGCCAAGGGTACGTGTGTGCATGGCAAAGCCCATCTAAGGACACAGTAAGAAAATGGCCATCTGCAAGCAAAGAATAGAGGCCTCAGGGAAAACCAAACCTATGAAACCTTGATCTTGGACTTCCAACCTCCAGAACTGTAAACAAATGCATTTCTGTTTAAGCCACCCAATCTGTGATAATTTGTTATGGAAGCAAACTAATATACAGTTTTTAAAATTATTTTTTTATTTTGAAATAATTATAGATTTGTGAATGTTGATCATATGGATTGGGTTATTCTTGTCCTACTGAACCAAAGCATAATCGAGAGGAGCTAACACACTCACAGCACATAACATTGCTCCAGGAATGTAATTGTTTCCAAGCCTAGCTGCTGAAACCGCCTACTGTAGCCTGAAACCACTTTTATCTGGTAACTAACTACTAAAATGACCCGCTGAGGCTCTAAGACTAGTTTTACCTACCGTGGTCACTCACCAATCCCCAAAACTTTACTAGTGCCAAAGAACATTTTTCAAAACAATGCATAACATTTATGCTTTTATTTAAACCTCCAGCTTTCTCACTGTTCTTTAAACATACTGAAGACAATCTAGTCTGTGTGTATGCCCCAAATTGCAATTATTACTTCCAAAATAAAATGTTTTAAGTTTAGACATCTATCTCTATATTTTGTTTAACTTCAAAATATTTATAGGTATTTGCAAAGGAGAACAGAAAGGTCCAATGCACTTAGGGGAAAAAAAAAAAGCCTCTAACATTGCCTCCCAAATCCCATATGATCAAGCCTTGTCCACCTTGCCAGACAGCTCACAAGATCCCCTCACACTATGATCCAGGAATCTATAGTAGCTAGACTTGAGTTCCTCACGTGTACTGGGCATTTCCACCATAACAAGCTACACAATAATCTATGCTGTAGATCTTCCTTGACTGGCTGTTCCTTCCCTATCCTTCAAGTTTCAGCATAATTGTTGGTTCTTCTAACAAACTTTTCCAATTTCTCAAATAGGCCCCTTTCTCCCATAGCAGTCTGTTCAATTTCTTCATAGCAGTTATCAGAACTAATGATTTTATTTTTATAAGGATAATTTTTTTTTTACTATGTCTCCCTAGTAGACTTTAAGTTTCCGTGAAGGAGATATCAAGTTTACTTCATGTAGGACAAAACAGAGCAGTCAATAAATTGTTGATGAATAAAATAATGACTGGTATGATTAAACATATTAGAGACATTAGTCTAAGAGAAGTGTGTAGGATGAATTAGAAAGGAGAAACCTCCAGGTGAGAAATTAGTTGGTAGGCTATGGTGAGTGACTTGGTGTGTCATTAGGGAAGAGAGTAACTTGATGATAATGAGAATAAAGCCAGAAGGAATTTGGGAAATATTAAGAAGGGAAACAGTAAAATGACATTTTATATTAGATAGGGAAGTGTAAGAAAATGTTATCAATATTTCCATATGTTGTAATACCGTTTAGGTATTTCTAGGTACATTATTGACTATAATCCATAAATTTTTTCCCTAGTCTTTATTTTTATTTGTATATCAATGTTTTAACTATGTATTTTGCACATGTCTTTTTCTGTGTACCTTGGTCAAAAATCAATGACAAGAAAAATACTATATTGTTAATAATCCTACAAGACATCAAAATATACATTACATACACAGTTGTAATAAAATATGAGAAACTGATTACAAATCATACACTATTAAGGAAATTCTAACAGATTAGATTATATAGCTGGGATGAGCATACATTTAAGTTCATGTTCTAGTTTATGCCTGATTTCCTGTGGTTGTTTCAATAGTATGCACTCTTAACTCTTCTTATTAAAAGTGAGAGTGTCCAGATTTGAGTCCAAAGTTTGTTTGCAGACATAAATTTAAAAAAAATGTAGGTGATATATAGTAGAATAAATAATGTTACTTTCTTTTTTCCCCAAGAAAAAGTCTCTAAATTGAGGCCCTCATATTAAACATAAACCCATTGCTGATTGAAAGTAGATATTAACCATTTATATTTGTATAATTATGTGGTATTTATGAAGATACGAAAAATGCCCAACTATAAATAATATAGTAACATCGGTGGTATTTGGTTTGCAGTATCCTCTTTGATGAAAACATGAGTTATTCATATTTAAATTATAGAAATCTTACAAAGCAATACATCTAAATTTTATCAAAGTTTATACTGTATTCAAATATGTCAGGTTTCCTCATGAATAGGTCACAAGAAAATCTATCATCTACCCACGGATGATGAAATTAAGTTATTGTCAGTGTAAAACATAAATATGTTTCTTATTGAGCCACTGGCTAGCATAATCTGTTTTTAAGTATTTTAGTGTCCACTGGAATAAAATATACCTAGTAAACTATTCAAAATACACTATTACTTGGATTATATTAGCTCAGAGTCATAATATACGTGGTTTAGTTGAAGTCACCATGAATTTTTATAGCCATGAAATATCTATTTGCATGCCACAATCATATGCAGCTGTCTTTATAATAAAGTATGCTGACCTTTCTTCAATACAAAGCTTTTTCCCCTTTAGTAAACAGGGCTGCTGTTCTGTTTTCACAGTGGGAAAAATGCATGATCTGTCCCTTCACCGCACCTTGCCCTTTTGCCTGTCTCCCATTTATCAGGTTGCTTCTGTTTCCTCCAGGGGGATGGGGAGTGGAGATAATGTTTAAAGGTAAAGAGGCAAAAGCCATTATACTTTGTAGAGGTTGTGTGTGGTCCTCTCTTAGCAACGGAGGAATATCTAA
Source organism: Homo sapiens (assembly GCF_000001405.40). Lineage (NCBI taxonomy): Eukaryota > Metazoa > Chordata > Mammalia > Primates > Hominidae > Homo > Homo sapiens. The sequence goes on along the minus strand of NC_000005.10, from coordinate 86,196,372 downwards.
TACCTTTTGCTGTTGAAGGAGTTCAATCACTAGTTCCTTCTTCTCAGGGCATTTCTGTAGAATCTTTGAACACTTGCCGGCTCCTTCTCCATGAAACCTCCCCCACCACCCCTGGGCTCTTGAAATACACCTGGGAACTTCATTCTCTGGTCACTTTTAATGACACACTTTCAGCTACTGCCCTGTAGCATTATTATTCACGGGTCTCTGCTCCCTGATAAGCAGTCTTTTTATGACGGATGCTTTTAAGTTGGGACTAGCCCAGCTACCCCCTTCACTTTTTGCAAGATTGCTGGTGAAGTGCAGCTTCTCTTTTCACCTTATTGACAAGGGTAACTTCCTTTTACATGATTTGACTCTATAAGAACCCATGTGTGCTCTGCCTTGATAGTAGTAAACAAGTTTCTGCAGTTTACTAGAATTCATCTAGGAGTAAGATCTATCCTTTCCCACAAATGCTTCCTGTTACTCTGATGGGGTCTTTTGCTGAGCTCTTGCTTGGTTTGAGGAGGAAAGTACAATTGGTCGTTCATGACACAGAGAAGTGGAAAAATAACCGACCTGAACTCTGTAAAAGAGAGGAAGTTTCTTTCAGAGCTACATCTCTTTTTAAACAAATTCCTTTATATCATCAAACGGCCTGTTTCCAACTTCTTTTATAACAGAGATTAGTTAGAACATGGTAATGAGCATAGGGTTGCAAGATTAGTTTAGACCACATTTTATCGCAACCTAGAAAAATATCTTGTACTACTATTTATCATATTTTCATACTTAACTATTACTTATTGTCCTCATAGTAATGACTTCAGACAAAACAATGAAACAATTATTTAAAAATCCATTTGTATATCTGCACATCAGTCCTTTATTGACAAGCAATTTTTGACTTGTATATTAAAATTAGCATTTTATCTGTTAATAGGGTAGTTGTTTACAGCATATCTCATATTAATTTTGAAAAATATATTTCCTTGAATATATATATATCCATCTTGAATATTGAAAGGCTATAGGTATAAGCATAAATATTCTAATATATCTAGATTTCTATGTTCTGAGCTATATTTTAAAAAGAATATTTTATTACACTTAAAAATAAGGCTTTTTTTCTATTTGAAGTCATCTATAATCTCCAAAAGAAGAATATATGTAACAGTAATGTTTTAAAATGTTTTCTGAGATACATTAAGTTTCACAAAAACACATGGTCATTACAAAATATCTGTACCTTCAAAAATTATGTCCATTCTTTGAATATGATTTGTAGCAATTAATGTACGTAGTTGGGACAGTTAAATTCTGTGTGCCAACTTGAATAGGATATGGTGCTCAATTGTTTGTGTGTCTAGATGTTGCTGTGAGTGTATTTTGTAGATGCAATAAACTTTTAAGGAAAGTTTTAAGGAAAGATTACCCTTCATAATGTGGATTGGCCTCATCCAATCAATTGAAGGCTTTAAGAGCCAAGGGTGGCTGTGCTCTATGGCTCACGCCTGTAAGCCTGTAATCCAGCACTTTGGGAGGCTGAGGCAGGCGGATCATGAGGTCAGGAGATCGAGACCATCTTGGCTAACACGGTGAAACCCGGTCTCTACTAAAAATACAAAAAAAAAAAAAAAAATTAGCCGGTTGTGGTGGCGGGTGCCTGTAGTCCCAGCTACTCGGGAGGCTGAGGCAAGAGAATGGTGTGAACCCAGGGGGCGGTGCTTGCAGTGAGCAGAGATCGCGCCACTGCACTCCAGCCTGGGTGACAGAGCGAAACTCCGTCTCTGTCCCCCCCCACCCCCCAAAAAAAGAGAAAAGGGTGAGGCTTCCCAGGAAAGGACTTCTGCTTCAAGTCTTAACATAAAAATCTTGCTTGAATTTTCAGCTCACTAGCCTGCCCTATGGATTTCCAACTTGCCAGACCTCACAATTCTAAAAGTCCATTTCTTAAAATAAATCTGTGTGTATCTATCATCTATCTCCATCTTTCTCTGTCTTTGTCTCTATCATCCCTCTACCGTTGGTTATGTTTCTCTGGAAACTCTGACTGATATAAGTGATACTGATTATAAAATATATAAAAATTCCTTGTATTCATTCCTTTTAAAATTTTGCAGCCCAGGTGCCATGGCTTACTCCTGTAATCCCAGCACTTTGGAAGGCCGAGGCGGGCGAATCCTTTGAGCTCAGGAGCTGGAGACCACCCTGGGCAACACAGCGAGATCACATCTCTACAAAAAGTAAAATACAAAAATGAGCTGGGGCTGGGCACGGTGGCTCATGCCTGTAATCCTAGCACTTTGGGAGGCCAAGGCAGGAGGATCACTTTAGGTCAAGAATTCGAGACAACCTGGTCAACATGGTGAAACCCTGTCTCTACTAAAACTACAAAAATTAGCTGGGCGAGGTGGTGGCGCCTGTAGTCCCAGCTGCTTGGGAGGCTGAGACAGGATAATCCCTTGAACTCGGAAGGCAGAGGTTGCAGTGAGCCAAGATCATGCCACTGCACGTCATCCTAGATGGCAGAGCGAGACTCCATCTCAAAAAAAAAAAAAAAAAAAAAAAAAAAGAGCCAGGTGAGGTGGCATGCGCCTGTGCTCCCAGCTACTCAGGAGGCTGAGGTAGGAGAATTGAGCCCAGGATGTCATGGTTGCAGTGAGCTGTGAATACGCCACTGCACTCCAGCCTGGGTGACAGAACTATACCCTGTCTCAAAAATAAAATAAAAATAAATAAAATTTAGCAACCATGTAGGACTGTTTTAAACAATTTCACTCATAGCGTGATCATTCTTGCTTGTATTGTTACTTTGGCACAGTGTAGCAGGGATGATTTTTAGAAAAATGTCCTTAATATATTTATGATTCATGTTAAAAATCTAGACAAATGTATGAACAACAAAGCCTCTTTTATGTAACACTTTTTATGTAACACTTAAAGGTATTTTTACATTTGTCCGTTCAAATCTAATTAGACTTCATTTTAAGGATGAAACAATAATTTCTTGGTAGTTCCAAAATATAATAAAAATGTTAAATTGCTACTGTAGTTATAGGAAACATTTGCATTGCTACAAGGGTCTCTTACTTTCAGTTGATGTCAGTGGGGGAAGAAGAGCAAGCCTTCTTTTTTAAAACTATTTCTTTCAGTAGAGGGAATTGGCAATGGTGATGTTACCACCAAATCATTAAGCTGTAATTCTTACTCTTTTCAAATATCATTACATAAGGTGCAAACTTACCTCCTGGTTAAGTTTTATTTGAAAGATATTATATAACTTTATTGAAGTCAACCTAAGAACTAAAGCTTCTGCACATTATTTGAAAAGATGCTTTCACACTATATTCAGGTACAGATTTTTGTCTTTGTGTGTGTGGGTGCCTGTGGTTGTTTTTATGCGAGTATGTGTGTGTGTATTTTTTTTTTGCCTTCACTTGTTCGTTTACACTATCACTTGAGAAAATTTTCAAGTAAAAAACTGTGGGTTCCTTAGGAAATGAAATGGATTTAAATAAATTAATGTAAAATGTACTTTACAAAGATTAATTTTTAATAGCTATAATATTGGCTATTATGTTAGTAGACAAAACACATATTAGGATTAACATATAATTTCATCTCCATTATTTTGATTTATATTAATTTTACAATCTCTTGTTGGCTTATAGGAGATATGATTAAAATTTTTCCTAATGCTATTTAGTTAATGCAATCTCTTTTGATAGCCTTACTGTCTCTGGTATCTTTTTCTATTTATTTGATTGTGTGAACATTTTAAATAATTGCTTTTATACAGAAACGCGCTTTGAAGAAGCCATTCATTATTATACATTTTATTTTTGTAAAGGTAATATATATTTTTATCTCAACTTTTGTAATGTTAACATCTTTAGTATTTAGATTTTTACTTCCCCGTTATATCTGGAATGTTTAAATCTATTTGTTGTGAAGATTCCTGTAATAACATAAGTGCAAATGGTAAGACTAAAGCTGTATTTTTCATATTTTTATACTGACTAGATATGACAATGGAAGCTTACCAGACCACAAATTATTTGGTCATGCACAATTCGAGGAATGCCAGAAATGACACTAAATTATGTGTTCAACTTTTTAGGCTTCTGAAGGCTGAGATCAAAATAAAGTTCAAATAGCAGTTGTTGTCTGATTATCAAACCAAAACTCCAACATAGAGGTCTCCCTAGCTTTAAGAACTGCCCAACACAAGAGGCCAGAGACAACTGATGTACCAATATTAAGTCTCAGAGAGTAAAGTATTTTTAACAAGTCCTTCTCCCTAGTCTCTTGACCATTACTTAATCTATTCAGCTCACTTTTCATCAAGAATATTTCAATATCCAGGCACAGTGGTGCATGCCGGTCATCCTAGCTACTCAGGAGGCTGAGGTGGGAGGATTGCTTGAGCCCAGGAAGTTGAGGCTGCAGTGAGCTGTGATTGTGCCACTGCACTCCAGCCCAAGTGACAGAGCAAGGCCTCATCTTGAAAAAATAAAAAATAATAAAAAAGAATGCTTCATACTTAGAATTTATATAGTTGAAAACAGAGATTTTAATGTATAGCATGTAGTGTTTATCAGAAAGTGTTCTCCAGAGAAACAGAGCCAATAGGGGAAATATAAAAAAAAAACAAAACAGATTTACTTTAGGAACTGACTCATATGATTTGGAGGAAAGAAAGAGCTGAAATCTTTAGGGTAGGCTCGCATGCAAGAAACTTCTCTTTATCATCTCTTTTATTTTAATTACTTAGGAAAATTTATTTTTTTAATGTAGTGAAGTTTTGTTTATTTTTATTGTATATATTTAAGTTGTACTTTATAGGATATATATGAATATTCTACTATGAACTATAATAAATTGCCTAATACATTCTTCTTTCCCATGTATCTCCATACTTTGTATTGAAAATATTAGTCTTTAACTTCTGGTTAATACAATGAGGCAGTCAGCATGCTTATTTATTTTGCATATTCTCATCCCTTATCCCTTCACCATTGTGTGCTTTTATATCTATTTTTGTACAAAAAAAATATTATTTATATAGTATATAACTTTTATACACAGGATTTAGTCTTTTTTCTATGACCATATTTGTTCAATTCTTGCCATTAGATGTATTATTCAAGCTTGTACTTGGATTTCTTGATTGCCTGAAGCTTGTGTTCTAGTAGAAAAATGGTCATAGAACCTGAGTTTTTCCATGTTCATAACACATTGTCTGTGACCTTTATTTCAATCTGAATGGATATAAAATCTTTGGTTCACATTGACTTTCCTTATGCATCTTAAATACATTACTCTAATGTCTTCTGATGTGAAGTGTTATTAAAAAGTGAGTTGGTCTGTCAATGGCCAAATGTGTTTTTTACTTTGTCTGTAAGGCACAGAATGGACTTTTGCCCTTCAAATTAGAACTGACTTATTTTAGCACTAGAGTATTTAACGTGGGAAATTTGAAACATTTTGTGTTTAAAAATACGTATTTACTGGCAACTGCATCTAAAAGTGGATTTATACAACATACAACCTCATATATGCACACATTTGCCCTTTGCCTATTTGTAGATGCAATGTCAAGTGAGCATGATGACTAGTGGTAAATTGAAGAAAACTGGGGGACGATTCCTACATTTGCAGTTGAAGACATGACCAAAATATCTGCACAGACAGAAAATGTTTTGATTTAATTCTATAGTTGCTGTATTCCCTACCAACCAACCATCTTCTTCATGCTAAGTGCACTTTTCTGGATGTGAGGATACAGACTAAGTGTAACAGACACTTGTTCTACCCTTGCGGGGCTTAAAGCATAGAGTGGAAGACAGACATTAGTTAAATAACTAGTAAGTTACACTGTTATCTTAAGAAGTCTTTTTTCCAATCTTTGTGACTGCTTACATGGTGGAAAGAGGATAAATAAATGAGCTATACTGGGAACAGTTGGCAGAATATATATGAATAGTTGATTAAGAAAACAATTAGATAATTTAAAGCCAAGCAATTATTTGGGAACAAGGATCTGCACAAGAAAAAAGACTTAAAAAACAACAATAACAAAATCCTTAAAGACTACGTATGATCTCCTTGCCAGTGCAGTCTTTTCTAAGAATGATGTAAATTTCCAGACTTCTTTGAAATTAGTACTTGCTAGTGACAGTCCTAACAATTCTAGGGGGATTCTTGGTCTTCTCTGATATTCAGTCAGTCTATATTCTGTTTCCAGATCCCAGAGAATGACATTTACTATTGTCAAAGCTATCATTTATTGAGCACCTACAATGTTCCAGTATTTTCTTTTAATATCCTAAAAAAGAGATATTATGTCCATTATTTCAACATAAATATGTAAAGCTTCAAAAATTTTTATGAATTGCCATATTGTGGATTACTAGTAATTTGAAGATGCAGAAACTGATTTAGGTTCTGCCCGAGTCCGTAGTGTTAAAGGTTAATTTATGTAATTACAATATTATCTTTACTAGAAAAAATAGTAAACAAAGGGTGGTGTGAAGATAAATCAAGATTATATAGTTTCATGTAGGTGGTTAATGAAAACAAATGAGAGATCACTAATAGTAGATGTTCATAAATTAGCACAGGGCCCAGATAGCAGGTAATACTATGAATTAAGTGCAATGATCATAACAGCAATACTGTTACATGTATGTGTGTCTAGCTCTTGTTTTCCAAAGCTAACCATGTCCCCATACACATTACATTAGTAAACATTCTACACATGTAGAAGGAATGTACTGTCTGGTTTATATTTTTATAATGCAAGGAAGGTCCTGGGTAAGATCAGGGTGCTTTGAGACTTCTGGAAGAAAGTAAATTATTGGTTATACGAGCATCTCCCTAATTTTTAAAAGCGTGGACTGCCTGTGTAAATCTTTTTTTTTTTCTTTTTTCCTTTTTTTTGAGACAGTTTTCCTCTTGTTGCCCAGGCTGGAGTGCAATGGCACGATGATCTCAGCTCACTGCAACCTCTGCCTCCCAGGTTCAAGCGATTCTTCTGCCTCAGCTTCCCAAGTAGCTGGGATTACAGGCATGTACCACCATGCCCGGCTAATTTTGTATTTTTAGTAGAGATGGGGTTTCTCCATGTTGGTCAGGCTGGGCTCGAACTCCTGACCTCAGGTGATCTGCCCGCCTTGGCCTCCCAAAGTGCTGGGATTACAGGCATGGGCCACCGCGCCCGGCCACCTGTGTAAATCTTAACAGTCAGCTTCCTTATACTGCTGATCCAAGTGGTAAATAAAGACTATCCATATAAACCTCAAAAGTAATTCTACCTCAATTGTATTCTGGAAGTTCCAGGAGGCTATGACTAACTGCAGAGGAGGTCCCAAACTAACAAAAAGTCTATCATCTTTGGACCAGACTGTGCTGAAACCATGTTTTCTGTGTTTCCCTTTATTTGCTCCTACAATGTTTCTCTGCTTTCCATCCTCTGCTTTTATGCTCTTCTTAGTCAATATCAGTTCTGGATATTTATCAGTCAATATCAGTCAATATCAGTCAATATCAGCCTGAATAATTAGGCTTTAATTATTCATGGAGACAACCCTCAAAATACATATGAAAAACCAACATCTAAACTATTGAAATCAACACCTATATATCTAAAGCTAGTGTTTATTGACACAACTTTGAATCTCCATGTGAATTATCAAGAGTCAAATCAAGCTCATGGTGACTACACATTCATAACACACCTCAACACAGAAGTCATCCTTCATTTTCTTAGTTAACAACCTCTTTTACTCAGACACTTGCTTCTGGAACTGTTTGTCCCTTCTCTTTGTTCCCCACAACCAATTAGTCACCGGCTTCTATAATATTTATCTTATATTTGTGCCTGAATTTCTGGATGTTTAATGCCATTATTTTAATTCACATCCTTATCATCTCTTGCTTGTAGTAATGTAATGTTCTCCCTATTAGCATCTCTTGTTTAGCCTTCCCAGCAACCATCTTCCACATTGCTGAAAATATTGTCCTGTTACTTTCTTGCCTAAAAATCCTTTAATGGCCTCCATTTTCTAGAAAATACTGTTTAAAATACCTGCATAATATACAATGCCATTCGTGGTCTCATTCCAGTCTCTCTCCCTGATTTTATTTTGCTCCATTCCCCAGTATAACTGATGTAATAAAGGGACAAGTGTAACACAATAACTCGTCCACGGCCGGTAAGACTCAACTCATATAACACCTACTTGATAAGGTTTTTGCAGACATTTCCTCCTATATTTAGGTGAAAAACTATATTACAAAATTCTTCACTTTATATTAAAATAGTAGATTAATTTTTCTATTTCTCAAGTAAACCACGACTTGTGTATTTAAACACACACACACACACACACACACACACACACACAAGCTAACACACACAGAGCTTAGCAGAGTGAGTGCTGTACGTGATGCATACATAGTATGTGTTAAAGTAATATCTTTTGGAAACATAAACAAGAGTTTAGAGTAGAAGAGTTTTCAGATTTCTGCATGAGGAGGGCTCAGCAAGTAAGCAAGTTTTGGTCCTGGTTTATATACATTCCTAATGAATAATTATATCCTAAATCTGACAAAATCCCTTCCTTTGAACAGAGATGAATGATATTATATCGTACTTGTTTCTCATTTGGGATTTTTGAAATTATAAAAAGTTGAATCTAGCAATTTAAAAGTACTTACAAAGAAAAATATGCTTGTAGATTGAGTAAATACTTTGGAAATACATTAATCCATGATGCTGATGTACATATAGTAAATTGTTTAATGTGAGAAACACTTTTCTTTAATCATAGAGCTGAAATTGTCTTTTAATTAAATAAGCCTGAATGCCTCTGATTTCATATCCCTTTGAGATTGAAATCTTAAAAATAATTTGACTTCAATTCTGAGCTTTATACTAAAATAAATTACAAATAGATTGGTTGCATACCAAAGACAGCTAAACGTGAATGTCAGATTTAAAATACAAACTTCTATATTTTTTATGAGGCTCTGTTACAGACTAATTTTTTTACTTCATATGATATATACATATGACATATAGCTATATCTATATATGTTATATATATTTACTTCATTATGAAGTAAAAATATATATATCATATATATCATTATAAACACACACACACAGACACACACAAACGTGTACTATGGTTTACAAGAGTTGACATGCTTGGATTCAAGCTAGTAGAAAACAGCAAAGTTTGTATTAAAAACTCTGTCTAATTCTAAAGCCTAAGGTCTTTCTACTACACCATTCTGCTTTTCAGAATGTCTCTTAAATCAACCATCTTTAAACTATTTGTGTTACTATACTCCATGAGTTTCAAGAGTTTCATAATTTTTTCTTCTAGAAACTCATTTAGAGGCCTTTAACAATCAACAATAAATAGGGCAAGATAAGCGGGGCACAGTGGCTCACGACTGTTGCAGTGAGCTGAGTCACGCCACTGCACTCCAGTCTGGGCGACAGAGTGAGAGAAAAAAATAAATAAATAAATAAAGCTTACTTTCTGGTGTACTGTTGAAAAGAGCTAAAAAATTATCTTACCACCCTATCCTCCTGAAGTCAACTAAAGATAACCATCAGTGAGAGAAGTTTCTTCCTAAAATACAGCTTTGAAATTGTAGCTGTTTGAAGGATTAGTAGGACTAGTTGTTACAGAGACATAGACTATAATCTGACATATTCCTCATTTACAAGTCGTGATATTAAGCATGATATTTATTCTCTTTGTGCTTCTATATTCTTGTATGTTAAATAAAAATAATAATATTATCTACCCTACAGCATGCTTATGAAAATTAAAGTAAAAAATAGTTACAAAATATTTAGCCCAGGAGATGAGACATAATGAGTGCTCAATATATTTTTATATTATTATTATTTATTTTTATTATTGTTTGTTTGTTTGTTTGTTTATTTATTTATTTATTTATTTTTGAGACGGAGTCTTACTCTGTTGCCCAGGCTGGAGTGCAGTGGCACCATCTCGGCTCACTGCAACCTCCGCCTGCTGGGTTCAAGTGATTCTTCTGCCTCAGCTTACTGAGTAGCTGGGATTACAGGCTATATTATTTTTTAACTGAAAATCTTAGCTTTGGAGCGCTAATTTCTGTTTTCTCCCTCTTTATTTTTAACATCACCCAGCTGGATGTCCATCCCTTACCTAATCTGCTCAAACCTAGTTCCTAAAATTCCTATTCCTGACTGAAGAAGGAAAACAATGTCTGCAGCTCCACATGTAAACATCCACACATGTAAACATCTGATTGGCCTTGGAAATGGAGTTTAGTCTGGAATCCTACAACTTTCTTATAGTGAGAAAATCACAGCTGCCAATTTCCTTTTCTGTCAGCATAGCTAGTTTTCTGTACTCAATGGGCAAATTCCGAGAAGTTGTGGTTGTAAATTTTAAACCACTTCTCACACACACACACACACACACACACATGTGCGCACGCACACACACACACACACACACACACACACACTTCTTTGATAGCTTAGTTCTATGAACTTAAAATTCTGTCTTAATTCCCAAAATAGAAATCTGCCCCAGTTACCTTTCAAGGCCACTGACTTTCCTGACTAAAATCCATCTTAGTTATCTTTCCCTCAACCTGGATCCAGCTTCCTCCTACCATTTATGGGTGTATTGTTTCATATGGACATATCTCCCAATGTGAAGCTGAAATGAGGCCACCTTAGAGAAACAACTATCACCTGATATTCACCAATAGGCTTTATAAAGTTTGGATATTAGACTGGCTTGCATTTCAGTGACACATTCTCTTCCTGAGGAAAGATTTTCAATTACTCCAAATGATATAATCTCTTCTCAATGACTAAATAATACTGTGTTCAGAAAACTGTATTTGTATCATATATTGCATCTCTTAAAAAAATTAATAGGCTTCAAAAAGACATAGATTATATAAAGACATTTCAAAAATTATGCTAGTTGTAAAATCACAACATAATATATGAATAATAAAAATAATTTATGAATAGTTGAAAACTCACTAATACCTAAATTTTATTTTAATTAATTTATTTATTTTGAGACAGAGTCTCACTCTGTCTCAAAGGCTGGAGTGTAGTGACGTGATCTCAGCTCACTGCAACCTCTGCCTCCCAGACACAGGTGATCCTCCCACCTCAGCCTCCCAAGTACCTGGGACTACAGGCATGTACTACCACACCTGGCTAAGTTTTGTATTTTTTGTAGAGACAGGGTTTCGCCATGTTGCCCAGGCTGGTCTCGAATTCCTGGGCTCAAGTGATCTGCCTGCCTTGGCCTCCCAAAGTGCTGGGATTACAGGCGTGAGCCACCCTGCCTGGACTAAATTTTAATTAAGAATTTAATTGTCTCTCTGACTCATTTCTCTTGTTTCTATCCCATGTTTCATGTCCTGGTCTTGCTTTTCACACCTCAGTTTTATTTCTTCAGGCCTCTCTCTGCTCTTTATTTTATTCATTCCATTTAGATTCCCTTTGTTTCTCTCGTCTACTGAGACCATCCCATTGGCATTATAAATATTCTCTGGCAAGGGGTGATTTACTTTTCATTTCTTTGCTCTATTTATTTTCTTTCCTTAAAAATTAAATGGGCAAATGTACTCTCATGTGAATATTGTGTCACAAGAAGAACCTATGAGGAAGGCGACATCTGTCACTTTCAGTGACTTTTCCCCTCACTCCTCCTGGCTCTGAAACTCACTAATACTTCATGTTTTCCTGCCCACAGATCAGTAGCTACTTTTTTCCAGAAATATTCATCTGGGAACCACTTGATCCTCCTTGAATATTTCACTGTAGAATGAAATTAAGGCAGTTGGCATAAATCACTGCTGAAAATAGGCATCTTATGGAAGGGAGATCCAAATAACTAAAGGTAAAACAGCAAATATTTTCCCCCTATTTTTGCCTGCTTTTCCATTATCAGTAACTTATATATTTGGAATTCTTTCTGTTGGGACCATAAACTAAAAAGTATCTGAGACAGGTCTCAATCAATTTAGAAGTTTATTTTGCTAAAGTTAAGGATCATAACCCTTCCTGATACAGCCTCAGGTGGTACTGCAAATATGTGCTTGAGGTGGTTGGGTAACAGATTTGTTTTATACAGAAGACAGAAGTTACAGGCACAAACATAAATCAATATATTTAAGGTTAGGCCAGAAAGGAAAAAGGAGGGACATCTCGAAGCAGTGGGTAAGGGATTCGTACAGGGTCGGAGGTGCCTCTTCCAGGTTGTAGGTAGATTTAAAAGTTTCCTGATTGGCAATTGGTTGGAAAGTTTATGCTCTGCCTGAAGAGTTAAAATCAGCTTGAGTTAAGATAAGGTGGGGGTGGCAGGGAGGGTGGAAGCCAATGGTCTTGTTAAGTAGATGAAGCTTCTCTGCCCTGTAGAAGGCTTCAGAGAGAATAGATGTGAATGTTTCTTGTCAAAGGTGTCAGGCTCTCTGGAGAGACCTAGTAAGGAAAAGAGATTTCCCCCACAAGAGACAGTTTTGTGCAGAACTGTTTCAAAATATGTCAAAGAAATATATTTCGGGATAAAATGCTTTGATTTCCTTTTAGGGCCTGTTATCTGTCATGTGATGTTATACCAGAGTCAGGTTGGAGTTGGTATCTTATTGCTACAAGAGTCTATTCTGTGGGACTTAGGATCTCTATTTTAATGCTGGTCAGCTGTGCCTGGACTCCAAAGGGAGGAGAGTATAATGAGACATGTCTGACCCTTTCTCTTTTCTCTCATGGCCTGAATTAGTTTCTCAGGTTTCTTTGGATCCCCTTAGCCTAGAGGAGGGTCCACTTGGTTAGTTGGGGGCTTATAATTTTATTTTGGTTTACAGGACAAGTTATAAATGAAACTTTTTTTGTCATTTAATATCCATTTTGGTTTCCTCTAAGCTGTGTGTGTTTTTTTTAAATCTAAACACATCTATATTAGAACACTAAAGTTAAGAATTGAGGCAATTGAATATTAAACAAAGCAAAGATTACATTTGATTCCCTGATAAATCTTGTCTTTGCATGGTTTATCTTAATCCAAATATCTCCAACTTACTAAAAAAAGTAAGCAATAGTTTTAATTGTCTTAATAAAATGTTCTAAAGAGTTAAATTATATACCTAATAAAAGACTTACTCATTTCTCTGGAGACATTTCTTAATTCTCTTCTATTCACTCAAGTAGTACAGCCTTTCTAGTTGTCCTTTCAAGCTCCCTTTGGCTATTGTGGGACCTTGTGATCATGTGAGTTAATACTTAATAAACTTCACAGATAGATATAGATATAGATATAGACAGATATAGATGTATCCCTCTAAGAGAACCCTGACTAATACAAGTGCTAACACATAAGCAAAGAAGACTTATTCAGCAAAAACTATTCATGAATTGCTAAAGGCCATACGTGGGCTAGTATGAGAATGTTACAGACTAAATTGTATGCCCCAACCACTATCACATATGTTGAAGTCCTAACCTCTATTACCTCAGAATGTGACCATATTTGGCAGTAAGTTAATACCAACATAATTAAATAAGACAATATACTATAAATAATTTATTTGGAAATATACAAATAAGTGCTGAGAGACAATGGTTTCCCCTCAAGGGTAGGGAAAGGAGGAGCAGAGGACTGTTCGATGTTTTTATGGAATTTTTTATATTGTTTGTAAAATATGCACATTTTTAAAAGGAAGTAGATTGAAGTGTGGTATGCACAGAAGTGTGCTACCTGTGCCCCACTCAAGGAAATACTGGCTATAGCAGCCAGCCCCTTCAAGGTATGTCTGTGCCACAGAGCTACCTTGCCTGAGGTCATGCCTTTCCTGATACAACCTGCATCTGGTGACAGGGCAAGGTAAGGTGTAAAGGACAGGACATTTTTGTCTGACACAAGGCAACTCAAATGGGCACTGCATACTCTGGAATTCTCTCCCAGGCAGACCCATTTCAAACCGCTGCCTTTGATGTAATCCTGCTTTCTGGGGACCTTTCACTGGTACAAATCTGTAACAAACACCTTGCTCTGTTTATTCTGTCTCAGTTTCTTCAGTGTTTGAGAAAGCAGGTGAGAAAATGTTTTTGCAGTGGGTCACTCACTGCTCTGCTGGGATTGGTGACTTCATTACTTGTGGCTGTGACACACTTAGTATGTACCACATTGATAGGCAATTGGCACACCTAATCTAATCTAATCTAACATAATAATAACATAACTTTCATAGCAATCTTATAAAATAGCTAATATTATTATTCCCATTCTGCTTATGTGCAATGTGAAATACAATGATGTCTGAGATTTTGGTGCACCCATCACTTGAGCAGTGTACACTATACCCAATGTATAGTCTTTAGCTCTAACCCCCCCTCCAATCCTTTCCCTTGAATAGCTAAAGTCGATTGTATCATTCTTATGCCTTTACATCCTCATAGCTTAGCTCCCACTTATGAGTGAAAACATACGATGTTTGGTTTCTCCATCCTTGAGTTACTTCACTTGGAATCATGGTCTCTAATTCCATCCAGGTTGCTGTGAATGCCATTATTTTGTTCCTTTTTATGCCTGAGTAGTATTCCATGTTAAATATACATACCACAATGTTTTTATCCAGTCATTGATTGATGGACATTTGGGCTGGTTCCATAAGTTTGCAAATGTAAATTGTGCTGCTGTAAACATGTATATGCAAGTATCTTTTTCTTATAATGACTTATTTTTCTCTGGGTAGATACCCAGGAGTGAGATTGCTGGATCAAATGAGAGTTCTACTTTTAGTTCTTCAAGGAATATCCAAACTGTTTTCCATAGTGGCTTTACTAGTTTACATTCCCACCAGCCATGTAAAAGTGTTCCCTTTCACCACATACAGGCCCACATCGATTATTTTTTGATTTTTTGATTATGGCCATTCTTGCAGGAGAAAGATGGTATCACATTGTGGTTTTGATTTGCATTTTCCTGATCATTAGTGATGCTGAACATTTTTTCATATGTTTGTTGGCCATTTGTATATCTTCTTTTGAGAATTGGCTATTCTTGTCCTTAGGCCCCTTTTTGAAGGGATTGCTTGTTTTTTTCTTGCTGATTCACGTGACCGAGCACCAACTGTTCTCTCCAAAACCTACTGAGTAAATAAATAAAGAAATACATAAAAGAAATAAAAAGATATTATGATTCTTGTCCAAGGTCATGCATTTAGTAAGAGGTGGAAATAGTATTCAAACCACAGCAGTTTGGTTAGACTTTTCAGAGCCAGTGTTTTGAATGACTATACTATAAAAGTGTAGAGATAGAAATAATGATGCTTAAACATTGCTAAATATAAACCTAGAGAAAAGATCAAATTACTTTCAGAAACAAAAACATTTTTTATGAACAAACCGTGCAATATATTGAAAAAGGAAATTTATTTTCAACTATCTTTTTTCCTCAGTGCTGTTGTTCATGCCTTATTAAAACACTACTAAGCTTGACATGTATATTTTTGGCTCATGGTTAATTTTGCTTCAATACAGTAAATGTGAAAATCATAACTTTGACTTTCCAAATGACATTGTGTGATATTTTGTTTTCAATTATGTTTTCAATTATGAACATAGCCTACCTCCTGAGGTTTCCAGTTAAGATAAAAGGATATGTCACAGTTAGGAACAGTCAACTCATCAAGAGTCATGGTGTGAAGTGGTTCCTGTGAATCCCTGCCAGATGGAATTATTTGTAATGATGAACAATCTCAATTTCTGCACAAGTAATTTAAAGCTCACTCTCAGTGGTGAATAAATTTTGTATTATATATCAAAGAATTAATTGTATTTTATTTTTTAAAAATGGAAGACTTTGGATGGTATTTGTCTATTATTATATATATAACTGTGCTAAAATATTTGGTGTAACAAAAACGAAATGTACTAGATGACAGAGCAACAAAGTTGTATCAGTAGACTGTCACAATTAAATACGTTATGTGAGATATCAGTCTCTCAGAAGGAACGGGTTTTTTTTTAGATATCTAAGGTATGTTTGATGAGAAAATGATTTATAGTGATTACACAAAACAAGAACAGTTCAACAATTTTCCAAAAATGTAAAATTTTAAAAAGTTGTTCTCTTTTTCTGCCCCTGTATCTCTATGTAGTATCAATAATCTTCAGGCTGAAATGTTTATGGAGGCATATTGGTCATCCAGTTACCTGTAGTAAGTCAGGGAAAGTATTCAAAGGTATTAAAAGCTTCTCTCTCTCTCTCTCTCTCCTTTTTAAAAAAGAACTGAATGGCCAGTATGATCTAAGAGAAGTTACGTAAAAAGGAAAATGACTAGTTTGTACAGTAGAGGAATCAGAGGATTCTATTAGTAAACAAGAGAAAAAAAATTACCTTCAAAGATTTCATGTGGACAGAGCAGAGTATACTAATAATTATAATTGGACAAAGTGCTTATTTTTTTTCCTTAAAAGCTATATATGTGTGTGTTATAGAGGAATGGGAGAAAATGTCATATTACTATTTACGAAGACTATGACAGAAGTGAATTTTAAAATTTGGACTTACAAGACAGCATTGTTTATAAAGATCTTCATTTGTTAGCTTTTCTTTAAAAAATTATTTGTATAGTACTTGATTAATTATTTTTTTCTGGCATTTATTAGTGCTTTTAATACGTAAAAATGGATTATTTTATTCCCATATCTAACAAACATAGTTCCTGAAAAAATATTTAAGTATGTAAATGCATGAATCATACGTCATTGAATAGGTAATTGGCCAGAGATGATATGAATATTAAAAAGTGTTCAAAAAAGAGGAGAAGCTATTGCCTTTCCTGGCCCCATTGCCAGTTTTCTATTTGAAGGGAGGGTCCAACTCAATAGCACTCTTGCTAGTGCTGAAGAGCTCCAAAGGAGGTAGCTTAACACCATTCCTGAGATGGCAATGCTTTCTGACTTCCACTCATCTCCTCATCCAGGGTACTATTTAATATCATTAACAATGTATTTGAAAGAGTTAAGTAAAATGGGGAAATGATGGGGAGTGGGGAAAGCTGGCACAGGAAGCTACAGTGCTTTGAATATTTATGCGCTTTGGAAGGTGACGATCAGAGAAAAATGAAAATTATGCACACAGAGAAGGTAAAAGACATTATAGATGATTAATATTGATATAAACTGTTGACATGCAAAGAAATCTGCATTTCAGAGATGTAAAAAGATACAAATATTTTATTTATTTCTAATCAGAGTATATAACAAAATGGAAAAAATCTATTGTGTTTAAAAATGTATTTTGGACTTTTCTTCTTTTTCTTACATAAGCACTTAATGATAAAAATCATCTACAAGCCCTATTTTAGCTACATACCACAAATTTGTTTTTTTTTTAATTATACTTTAAGTTCTGGAATACATGTGCAGAACATTCAGATTTGT
Source organism: Homo sapiens (assembly GCF_000001405.40). Lineage (NCBI taxonomy): Eukaryota > Metazoa > Chordata > Mammalia > Primates > Hominidae > Homo > Homo sapiens. The sequence goes on along the minus strand of NC_000005.10, from coordinate 86,178,902 downwards.
TACATAGTGCCATGGTGGTTTGATGCACCCATTAACCCATCATCTACATTAGGTATTTCTCCTAATGTCAGCCCCCCATCCCCTGACAGGCCCCAGTGTGTGATGTTCCCCTCTGTGTCTCCATATGTTCTCATTGTTCAACTCCCACTTATGAGTGAGAATATGCAGTGTTTGGTTTTCTGTTCCTGTGTTAGTTTGCTCAGAATGATGGTTTTCAGCTTCATCCATGTCCCTGCAAAGGACATGACCTCATTCTTTTTTCTTATGGCTGCATACTATTCCATGGTGTATATGTGCCACATTTTCTTTATCCAGTCTATCATTGATGGACATTTGGGTTGGTTCCAAGTCTTTGCTATTGTGAATAGTGCTGCAATAAACATACATGTGGATATGTCTTTATAGTAGAATGATTTATAATCCTTTGGGTATATACCCAGTAATGGGATTGCTGGGTCAAATGGTATTTCTGGTTCTAGATCCTTGAGTAATTGCCACACTGTCTTCCACAATGGTTCAGCTAATTTACACTCACTCCCACCAACAGTGTAAAAGTGTTCCTATTTTTCCACAGCCTCTCCAGCATCTATTGTTTCCTGACTTTTTAATGATCATCGTTCTAACTGGCGTGAGATGGTATCTCATTGTGGTTTTGATTTGCATTTCTCTAATGACCAGTGATAATGAGCATTTTTTCATATGTTTGTTGGCTGCATAAATGTCTTCTTTTGAGAAGCGTTTGTTTGTATACTTCGCAGTGTTTAGAGGGAAATTTATAGCACTAAATGCCCATAGGAAAAAGCAGGAAAGATCTAAAACCAACAACCTAACATCACAATTAAAAGAACTAGAGAAGAAAGAGCAAACAAATTCAAAGCTAGCAGAAGACAAGAAATAACTAAGATCAGAGCTGAACTGAAGGAGATAGAGACACGAAGAAAACCTTCAAAAAATCAATGAACCCAGGAGCTGGTTTTTGGAAAAGATTAACAAAATACACCACTAGCCAGACTGATAAAGAAGAAAAGAGAGAAGAATCAAATAGACACAATAAAAATGATTTATTGTTTTAAACATTATTGCATTAAAAGCATTTTTCAATTTCTTGTGTATATTTTTAAATTTAGAAGTATGTTGCATAGTTTGCAAGCATCTGCAGAATTTCTAGCTGTTTTTCAACAACTAATTTAATTTTGTTGTGGTCAAAAAACACAGTTTATATTATTATAATTCTTTAAAATTAGCAAAAATTTCTACACAACTGCTTACTGTCTCTTTAATTCTGTAAGTACATAATGAAGTCCTCTTGTTCAAAATAAACTTGTATTTTTTCTGCCTCTCTTGATTAGATGTACTGAAAGTGGCTTAATTTTATTAGTGTATTCAAAGAGCAAACTTTTGGCTTTATTAGTTTTCTTTTACTTTTTATTATTCCGGCTAATAGTTTGTCAATATTTTATTAATATTATTCTGTTAATATTATTTCTGCGATCCACATTATTTTTTCCTTTAACCTATTTTAATTTAATTTTCTACCTTCTTGAGGTTGAAGATTAGATTTTTAACTCCTCTTCATTTGAACATACTGTTTTTTTTCTATGCATTACTTAACAAAAAATTTTTCTATGTCGTATGTTTTAATTGTTATTATTTAATTCACAAACTACCAATATCATGATGAGAGTGGACAAGGCTCCATGTTGTATTCTATGGGAATTAAATTAGTAATACAATTTTATGTTGATATAGTTGACAAACTTAGAAGAAATATAAATATTCTTTGAAAGATGCAGATTAGCAAAATTCACCCCAAAACAGATAACTTAAATATATCTGCATTTACTAATGAAATTCAATTTATAGTTAAACAATCAAACAAAAATCCATCTAATATAGCAAGCCATTGACCCAGACAGCTTCCATGGTGAATTCTACCTAATGTTAAAGGAAAAAGGAATATCTATTATTTATAAAATCTTCCAGAAAGTAAAAAAGGAGAACACAGTTTCCAGCTCATTTTATGAGGTAAGTATTATCCTGATAATAAAAACCACCAAAGGTATTATTAAGAAAAATAAACCAACAAAAACATTACAGACAACTGTTGTCATGGATATAGTGACACGAATCCTTTAAAAATATTAGCAAATTATAATCAGCAATATATAAAATAAATGATATGTTACAACAAAACATAGCTTATTCCAAGATAGCAGGTTTGATTTGACATCTGAAATTCATTAATGTAAGTCACTATATTGACTGATCAAACAATTTCAAGGGCAATAATTTGATAATCTTAACAGATGTAGAAAATATTTGACAAAATTTAACATGATGCATAATAAAAACCTTATCATCTAGGAATAGAAGCAAACTGCCTCAACATGGTAGAGAGCATCTACGAAAATGTATCTTTAAAGTCTTATTAAATGGTGAGGCTGAAAGTCATTGTCTAAGATCAGGTAAGCATAAAGATGTACAAACTCATATGTGCATTCAACTTGTACTAAAGGTCTTAATTAACCATTGCAATAACGTTGAGAAATGTCAAAATGCATACAGATTGGAAAGAAAGGAGCTCCTGATGCTCCTAATAGTTATCAGATATTTCTATATTAAAACTCTAGCTATTAATAAAAGCTCCTGAAAAGTTCTATTACGTCACAAAGAATTGAGTCTAATAACGAGAATTTCAGTCATCATGAAATCTTTACACAAGAGACATTTGGAACCAGTTAGGTCTTTTAAGTCATTTTACCCTGAAACTAACAATGTAGTACTTTACAATGTGACTTTTTAAATTTTTATAAATGTAAGGGGTACAAGTGTAGTTTTTTTTACATGGATATATTGCATAGTGATGAAGCCTGGACATTTAGTGTAACCATCACTCGAATAGTGTACGTTGTACCCACTAAATAATTTCTCATTCCCTCACCTCCTCCCACCCTGCTGAGTTTCCAATGTCTACTATTCCACAACTCTATATAAATGTGTACACATTATTTAGCTCCCACTTATAAGTGAGATCATGTGGTATTTGATGTTCTATTTCTGAGTCATTTCACCTTCATCTTAAGCAAGATAATTTTATCTTAAATTCACAACAATTCTATCAGATAGGTAAATTATTATCCTTTTAAGTGAAATAACTCAGAAAGTAAGCTTCTGACAGTGTAGGTGGTCCCCTAAATTGGGGCTTAGCCTGGGAGGATTCTTGGCTTTGCCCAGGAAAGGATTCAAGCGTGAGCAGGTGGTGGTGGACCACAAGTTTTATTGAAGTGGCAGTGTACAGCAGCAGCAGAGGTACTGCTCCTTGCAGAGCAGGGCTACCCCATAGCCAGTGTGCCCAGAGTAGCAGCTCAAAAGCAGTTCTGCAGTCATATTTATATCCACTTTTAGTTATATGCAAATTAAGAGGTAGATTATGCAGTAATTTCTAGAAAAGTGTGGTAACTTTCAGGTTGTTGGGTCATTGCCATGGAAAGGAGTGGTAACTTCCTGGTGTTGCCATGGCAATGATAAACTGACATGACACACTTATGGGCTTGTCTTATAGAAAACTCCTGCCCTGTCCCTGTTTTAGCTAGTACTCAATTTTGTCCAGTGTCTGAGCCCTGCCTCCTACCTCACTTCCTAACACTTCGTGTTTATTCATTGCCTTTCTCTGGCTAGAAGAAGGCACTTCAGGCCTAAAATTATGTCATGAGCCAAAACCAAGACAGAGAGTTTATTTAATGTTTATTTAACAAGCATTATACCCATGATGAACCTGACTGTCTATATTATCATTCTATATTTAGCTAATGTATCTACAGGTATTTGTCTTACATAGAAAAATTATATTAGATAACTAAAATTAAATGCAAAAAATGACTTATTACTGCATATTGTCTACTGGTTACATGCACTTGTACAGGCAAATAGATTTGCTTTCTCTGTTCATCTTTTCTTTTAAAGGCCACATCTCAATATATCTCTCACATATTCAGGTGTATTTTATAAATAGCTCATAAATACTCATAAAGTGGAATGCTTTCCTTTTCCTCAATTTGTTTAAACATAATTTTCTTGATGCTCATCAGAAGATTATAGGGTTAGTGGACATGAAAAAGAAAAGCAGAACTGAATTTTTTCAACAGTCTTACTTAAGTTTCTTCCAGGTTTCTAATAAAAATAATCATTTTGATAATGGTAATGGCAGTAATGATAGTAGCAACAGCTAGTATTTATTAAGCACTCAATATGTGATTGCATTCTGTCAAGTGTTTACAATTAAATTCACAATGATCATATAAGGTAGGTAAATTATTATGCTTATTTTTAAATAAAGGCACAAGATGACAAGATACTTTGCCCAAGTTCACATAGCTGCGATGATCCATGTCTGTCTGCCTGAACTTGAAACCAATTTTATAGGAGTTTCATTTACTTGTTATTACCATTTTAATATGAATCAGTAAGTTGAAGGTTATGCACAGTGAAATCCGTGCATAACAGTTTCATACCTGTTATGGGCACAAAAGAATCCAACAGCTGGAAGTGCATGCTTCCTCATCTGCTTTGTAGCATAAGTCTATTGAAAGAAGCCTCTGTTCCTAAGTTGGGTAACTACTGTTAAGGTCTTTAAGTGTCCAGTTTCTTGTAAAACCTATGGCATGGGTCCAGTCAACTTGGATAAATGACTAAAATTTAGTGTGTAAAAAGATAGGATAGGGACTTAGAAATACACAGAATATCTTCCCCAAATGTACTATCCCAGGAAATGAAATTTCAGTACTTATATACTCATTAGCCAAAGCAATTAGAATAATGAAATTAAATATTCTAATTCTTAAAGGTCCTTATCAATGGCATAACCAAAGTTGGTAAGAGCTGAAAGACCTCTTAAAGTTCCTCTCATTTATCAAAAAAAAAAAAAAAAAAAAAAGAGCTGACAGGTAAAACGACTTATACAAGTTTCACAAGTAAGCTACTGACCCAGCATTAGAAGCTGAGACTGTATGACAACTGCTATCTTGCATAGTGTTTAGACACAGCATGTTAGCTGCAGCAGAATTGGCTTTTACCCTGCTCCCATCCTCTCCCCATCCACCATGGCCATTATCCTTGCACATCCTTCACCTGGGAAGGCTCCATATCATCACTGATAAGAAATAATTGTTACTTTCAGTAGAAACGCAGAGCAGTGCTCAGGGTTGATATTCTCATCCTCAAAATAATGTTTTTCCCCAAATCAGGATTAAGTCACATTATTAACAGGCATGAGCTTCAATCTGATATTGCCATTGATTGCCCTGCACTTCCCTGTGCTTTAGTAAAGAATTTCAGTTTCCAGGATTTGTGCAGCACTTTTCACAAGTTGAAAACTTATTCCAATTGGTGAAATAAAAATGACAACAAGGACTTTTTTCATTTCAATCTGTGATGTGACCCTGCATGTACTACTGTGCTTTTTTAAATGTCCAGCTACATCATCTCAATTCAATTGGGCAGCTAGTCCTGCAGACACAGTCTCATTCCATCCTTCAAATCTGAAAGGATTATAGCCTTCTGCAGTGTTCTTGCCTTTCTAATTCATCATGACATTTTCTTTAACAGTATTTTTATTTCTATCAAGTATAAAAATGATTCTAAGAAAAGCTGAATGTGCTAACTATTCCTAGAAGTTGTTATTCATTGAATAAACAAAAATATGCACAAATAAGTTATTCAGAGATTATAATTCTAAAACGTGCTCATGAGTCATAGTTGTTTCACATATTATTTCCTGATTAAAGTATCTAGTTAAGCTTATGATGCATCAATTAAAATAAAAGGTATAAGTTCTGCTAACCAGACATTTATTAGGTCCCTAATGTAAGCAAGATAGCCAGTTAATTTATTTTATAGTCCTATTTAAAATCTTCTATTCGTAGAGTTTCCACATTTAGCAAATAAAAATACCTGACAGCCTAGTAAAATTTGAGTTCCAGATAAATGGTAAATATCTTTGTTACTGTAAGTAGATGTCAAATATTCATGGGGTATATTTATACCAAGTAATTTATAGGCCATAGTTGCACTAAAAAATTGTTTGTTGTTTATTTGAAATTCAACTTTAACTGAGAGCCTGTGTTTTATTCCTAGCAACTCTACTTTCTAGGAAAATAGTAATTTAAAATATTCCCTATGTGAGGTAACAACTTTCTACTTTCATCATCATCTATGATAATTATCTTTCTAAATTAATTCTTAAGCCTGCGTTAACTCAAATTCAAAATATATTTTATTTTGTGACTTTTGGAAATCAATCTTATTTGAGTCTTGCTCATGTATTTGTATTTTTGTGTACATTTCTCAGAGCTTGTAACTGATTTAATTTTGTTGTCTGAGTACATTGACTGCATTATTCATCTTTCAAAAATCCAGAAACCAGGGAGCAGTATTACTGTCCTCTAGAGTACAAACTGTGTTATTCTTTGATTTTCTTTTGGTTCCGAATATTTTTATAAGTGGAGGTTTGGTATTTTGGGACATCAGACTGAACTTCTTGACAACACAGAAAGATTACCAAGCTAAATTTCTAACAAGTAAGAATGATGGCCTTGGTCATTTGCAAGGCCAACTAGCAGTATTCTCTTGGATTTGAGAGGGTGACATACTTTTAAAATTATTCAGAGAATGTAATTATAAAAAGTTCTTGAAATTTGCAGTTGCTAGGCTACTATATGGAAAAGAAGCATGAATGGCATTTGTCTGTGCATATAGGAAAGAATGAAAGCAATCAAATGACTTTTAAGCTAGCAGAATAAAGATCTTAATTTGCACCCACAAGCACTAGCATTAATAATTATTTTTATGAGTTAAAAAAACAGATATCCCTGAAAGCTAGAGATTTATAATATCTTTGGACACAAGCGATTTAAAATTTTTCAAAGTAAATATTGATTTGAGGCCATATTAAGCAGAACATGAAACAACAAAGTATTTTTCTGCTAATTTTCTTTCTCCTTCTTCTCAAATAGTACAACGGTATGCATACATTCTTAGTAGAACCAAACTGCAATATAGTTTAAATGCATCAAGCTAAACATAAGATTTGGTAGAGAACAAAATGAGATCTGTGATGGGGAAAAAAAAAATAACAAAGACAGTGGGGTGAGTGAAAGGATAATCCCCTCGCCTTATTTTCTGCTACTTTTTTTTTTTTGATGACTGAAGTTTATGTATCCCAATTCTCCAATTCCTTCTAATGTTTTATTGCTACCTTTATAAGGCTGCATTGAGCACTATTTCCCTAGACGTTTATCTGCCATCCTGATAAATCTGGTAATTCCCCTCAATAATCCATGGCTCAAGTTTTTCAACTACATTCCTTGGCAATAGGATTGTCTTCAAGCGATTCTAAATTTCAAGATATTGATGGTTTGGAATATATTCTTGTTCCCCATATTAATTCATCTAAAGCATAGTGACTGTTCAAAATTCAGATTTTATGCCATCTTCACAGGGTTTTATTATCTATATAAGTTATCTCAAAGGAACCCCCTGCCCCGGTCATTGGAATTTCTGTTTCTGATCTTTCTCTGAATATAAATAGCCACTAAAATGAGAGTCACATGCAATATATAATCAATTGGCACTTTTTCAATTGATTTTTCCAGTGGCCTGTTATTGGCTAGCTCCTGGGATCAAAGAATCTTTATTTCAGTTAATAGCCTTTTACATATTGTTATAGAGCAAATGTTTGTGTCTCCCCGAAATTCGTATGTTGAAGTCCTAACCACTAATGTATTTGAAGACAGGGCCTGTGAAGAGGTGCTAAAAGTTAAATGAGGTCATAAAGGCAGAGACCTAATACAATAGATTTGGTGATTTATAATAAGAGGAAGAGACACCAGAGCTCACTCTCTCCACCGTGTGGAGACACAGTGTGGAAAGGTGGCCATCTGCAAACCAGGAGGAGAGTCTTCACCAAAATCTGACCATGCTGATACTTTGATTTTAAACTTTTCAGCCTCCAGAACTGTGAGAAGTAAATTTCCATTGTTTAAGTTACTCAGTCTATGGTATTTTGTTATGGCAGCCTAAGCTGACTAAGACACTAATTATGATATTATTTTAAATAGATATTTTAATAAATATTTTCCTAGAGATTTTTATAATATGATATGGGTTGCTATTCCATAACACACTGTAAATGTACAGGCAATTTCTCCTGATACATTATAAACAGCTTCCTCATCATCTTCCAACCCTCTTACTCTTCCGATTCCTCCATCTACACCTATACTTACCGAGTATATGTTTGAAATGTAAATAAAGTATGATTCCTTGAACAATTAAACACCCTATCCCCAAAACTTTAGAATTACTGGATTCACTATATTTGCACATCATTTAGAATGTGAAAAATGTCAAGATTTAGAATATGCACACCACTTAGAATACGAAAAATGTAAAGTTTCTAACAAAAGTAATTATTTTAGACTTCAGATAATTTT